>NC_000006.12:817575-969090 GCF_000001405.40 Homo sapiens
CAGAGAGCAGCTCCCCACAGGGATCCCGTGTGCTGCCCTTTTATAACCACTACCAACTTCTACCCAACCCCTCCCTAGTCCTTGGCAGCCACTAACCTGTTCTCCTTCTCCATAATTTTCTCATTCAGACATGTTAAATAAGCTGTTATATAAGTGGAATCATACGATATGCCACCTTTTGGTGTTTTTCTCCCACTCAGGATGCTTCCCTTGAGATGCCTCCAAAGTGCTGTGTATATCAGAACGTTGTTCCTTTTCATTGCTGAGTAGCGTTCCATGGTGTGGATGTGCCAGGGTGTGGACACTGTAACAGGACATTACAACAACAAATATATGGTTGTTTAAATCATACACTTGCCACCTGTATTAGTCCCAAGACTCCACATTCATTAACTCAAATATTCTTATCTCCCGTGGCTGCCATGTGACATCCCCCTGTTCCTACCCCGTCAAAGCTCTCCTGTCACTTTCAAAGAGAATCTATCTCTAAAATCGGAGGACAAACCTCTCTGTAACCTCAGGATAGTTAATCGTTTTCTGTGCACCTCATTCCTGGGGATAATTACTCATTTTCTGTGCACCTCATTCCTGGGGATAATTACTCATTTTCTGTGCACCTCATTCCTGGAGATAATTACTCATTTTCTCTTTGCTTCATTTTCCCCTTCTATATATGGAACTAGCAAGTATTTCTATTTCTAATGTTGAAAAGGTTAATGTGATCACTTGTGTTTACACAGCCTGAGACAGGTTATATAAATTATTCAGACTATGTATGTGTGAGTCACCTCTCTCCCTCAACTAGACCTAAAGCAATAGGTGATCAAAAATAGCTTCATCAGCAGAACGCCACCTTTTCCCAGCCAGGCCCTGTTCCCTGTAGCACTTAGTTCTCAGAATCCTGCCTTTCCAGGGGTCCAGGGCTTAGACTTTGTCCAGGAACAAACCGCTTGAAGTTGGCAGACAATTATTCATTATCAGCTCCTTAAGAAGGAATTAACTGGACCTGCACAGGATTGGACTTGTAACTCAATTACGACATTAATTTAAAAGGTGACTTGATAAAGGCCAGGCAGAGGCCACATGAATTCCCCTTTCTGGCTAAAATTTTGCCTGTATCCTGGACTCTGTGCTTACTACATCTTATTTTTATTCCTCTAAGTACCAAAAAAGAATGCTTATGCATTTATAGCCATCATCATAGAATTATCAGAATTTTAGACTTGTTGGAATTTCAACCAGACCAACCTCTGGATGTCCCAAGCTGAACTATTGCTGTCTGAACACTGTGGTTCCTTAGCCACAGCTTCAGGGCAATGGCATCCCTTCTGCTGGGCTCAGGGTCTCTGTACCCAGTACGATTGACCCTGCTGCCTGGGTTGTAGCAGGAATATGATTTTGAAACTTTTCCCGTTGATTTTGATGATCATGCAGGTAGGGGATCTCTGTCCTAGGGGGCACTGCAGGAAAGCCCCTTCCAAGTCTTTGCCTCCTTAAAATAAGCAGGGTCAGGAAACTATGCAAAGAGATTGAGGTTGCTTTGAGGAGCCTGGGGATGAGCTGGAGTCCTCACAGTTCGGGAAGTTGAATGCCTCAGTGGACAGGCACTATGTGGCCCAGCTGGCTCAGCTGGCTCCCAGGCAGAGCAAGCGTGAACTTGGCAATCGTTTAGCCTCTGATAGGGGGACAGTTGGCCTCTTTTTGGTCACTAGGAGGGTGTAGTCAACTAACAGAAAATCCTGCAAACCGGATCTTCCAAAGAGCTGATGCTATGTCCTGTCCAAGGCCGGTGCATACCTTGGAGTGTCAAATATGAGATAATATACTGCAGCTGAAAGGAGTATTTGTTACTCATTAAACAACACAGAAGTTCTGAGTAACCAGCTTGCTTCCCTCTGGGGACTTAGTACAGGGAGACATCTTGCTCTGTAGAAAATCAGAGCAAGATGCCTGCCTTTTGCAGTAATGGCTATAGCAAATTACCATGGGTTTGAATGACACTAGTAGAGTGCTGATTACTAGACAATTAAAAACAAGGAAAGGGAATGCTATTATAAAAGAGGAAACATTTTGTGGACCTTGAAGTAGAAGTAACGCTAGTTTGTAAGGCTCTCTAGTCTGCTTGTTATTTGGTGCCATATTCCATACACCTGGTTTGTTTCTAAAAATCACACAGCAGGTAAATGTAAATGTGAAGTTTCTCACATAATGACAAACATGCTAATTTAATATACTTTTGAAGTTCCATTACTTTTAAGTAAGTAAAGCTGCCAGACTTTTGCGTTTTCCTCAATATCTGAAAATCACCTTTCCGACAGGATGGAGCTGTAGCAGGGTGGCTTATTTGTAATGAAGTCGAATTGCATGTGATTTTGCCACCAGCATTTCCAGTCTTGAACTTCTTAAGTGCCAACTACATATTTCTGAGCAAATAAGTAAATGAATAAGGTTGCCTGTTAGCAAGAAAAGAATGTTACTTTGTATTATATTGACTTGCATTGCCTTGAAGAGAAAAGAATTGCCCAATACGAATATAAATTACTTTATAAATCCAGTGGCAAAAAGAAGTACTTGGTTCCAAGTGTCGCTCATATAGTCTGGACAAGTCCAAGTGAACAATGTGTGTTTGATCAGTGAAGGTCCTCATGTTTTCTAATCATTCTTTATTCACTCCTTAAGGCTTTATTTTTTAAATTCCACAGCTGGGAAAAGTGAGAACAATGATACAGGATCATAGCTGCCTTTTTGAAGTAGATTTCTTCAGCATGCAGGAAACATAATGTTTTGTTTTTCTTAATTTTTATCATTCTTCCCATTCTTTTACCAGAACTCTCTTCTTCCATGTCTGGAATATTCCTGATGGGAAGCTGGACATTTAGGATGAAGCAGCAGGACTGTGTTGAGAGCTATTCCTCCCAAAAAGCCATGTCTTCTTCAATAATGCTAAGTGGCAGTTGTTCTTCAAAAATTATCTATCTATCTATCTATCTATCTATCTATCTATCTATCTATCTATCTATCTAATCTATTTCTCTATCATCTCTATCAATTTTCTATCTGTCTATCTTATGAAAACTCTATATATTTATGGAATTTTTCTTACTAAAATGTGACAGTCTTCCTTCTAGAAGCCAGAGGAATGCATGCTATTCTTTCCATGCCCTGGTGCATAAGCAGCACCCAGCAACTAGCTGTGAAAGTTGCTGCTGTGACTCCTCCAGAGTTTCTGGGCAGCAGAAGGTATTTGATCTTGAATTTTGTAACCCAGATGTCTGCTGAGGCTTATAAGGCTCTAGCAGCAATGGCCCGCCCTGTAGATAAAGCTGTCCCTTTTTAGGGTTTCTACCCCCAAATCCTTTCACACCAAGCACACCTGAGTTCTGTAGGGTTTATAAAGGTCTGGGTGTTTCAGGGAAGAACCAGCTGCCATCTCCCTAGGATCACGCTCCTTCCTTTCCCCTCTTGCGTCTCCTTTGAATACCCTCCAACCCAGAGTGCCGACCCCCTCTTCCCCAGAAACTCCAAATGCCTATTTCTCTCTCTATCATGCCCTGAACTTCTCAAGGCAGTCCTTATAACACACACAGACACAAAACACAACTCTTCCTAAGAGAAATTTTAATTAATTTTTCTCCACACTGTTCTGTTCATATTATTCAGAATGAATAGGTTAAACATTTATCATGTTAAAATCTGCCATTCATCAGGGATCTGAAGCTGCTGGGAGAAATGTTTCAATAGAAAGGAGGGCTCTGAAGTGCACAGACAGTGCTTGAAAAAGTCAAGACAAGAAAGCAAGCATGCTTTGAATATTTCCAAAAGAAGATGGATAACCAAAGTCTCTAACTTTCATAACATTTGAAGACATTCAAGATAGAACAATAACTGAATAACTTAACTGATGCAAATAATACAAAATATTTTTTTGCATCACTGTGTGTATAAACCCAGACATTTATTAAACACTGCATCGAAAATAAAGTATGTAAATCATTTGCTGTTTCAGCTGACCTGAGGAGCCGGTTCAGTACCTCATGCCCAAGGTGATGCAGTTGTGTAATTAAAAGACTCAAAAACTGTTTCTCATAAGAATATTTGCATTTGCAGATGCCACATATTTTAAGAGTAATTCAAAGTGAAATAATCTCACCTACTCTTACATGATTAATTCTTAATAAAGTAGAAATAAGGTAATAGTTACATTTTTTATGAAATATAAGTAATGAATAATAAAATTTTGAGTATATCTTGAAGCAATTACTTTGTATTTCAAATTATTTTTTCTCTGCTATTTATTTTAATCTCAGCAGCATTATAATTTAAGAGCTCTTATTTTCTTTAAAATTATGTTATAATTTGTAAAGTGCTCTGTAGTCAGATACTTTGGGGACGTGTTAGCTAAAATTGTTTTGGACACTGGGGTATGAGGCTGAATCAGGACGTCTCTGTGCCCCAATAGCACACACTCATAGCCTCGCCTTGTTATTCTGCATTTGCCCTACCAGGTCCACTCCCCCGTTCTGCCCTGCTCTGGGCCCCTTTACATTCAGCATCTAGCTGGTCCCCTCACCCTCTGGCTTCAGCTTGGGTTCATGCGATGGGGGCATTGGCGTGAAATCAGAAGGCTGGAGGAGAAGGGGTTGGGCGTGGCTTCCCCCATATCCCACTTCCCGACTGGTTTCTCAATGGCTATGCCCCTTACGTATGATCCCAGCTCCCAGCTCCTCCCTATCCTAGGCCACAGCTCTGCTGGGTTTTGGAATCCCTCCTCTCTTTCCGTTTCCCTAAGGCCTACAGCACTAAACAACAACCAAAAAAAAAGAAATTAGCAGTTAGACAAGGAAGAAAACATTCACATAAAGCAGAGGCTACAGGAGCTGAAAGGAGACATAGCTGGAAAGCCTCTGACAAGAGGGGACTTTAATATGCCACTCTCAGTAGGAGAGGGAACAGGTGAGCAAAAACACACAATGAGAAACAAGATCCAAACAACATAGCCTTTGAGACAGATGTTGTGGGCGTACAATTTTATACTGTGATAATGACCCTCACTTTATCTCAGACACCTGATTATTCACAAAAGTTGATCATATATTAGGTCACAAATAAAACATCAATAAATGTCATAAAGAAGAAGTATTTCAAACTACACTATCTAGGCACAATGCAATAAAAGTAAAAAGTATTAACAAAACAAAAATGTCTTACCACATGAAAAATGGAAAACATTCTATTAAACAACTCTTAGGCAAAGGGAAGTACAAATAGAAATTACAGAATTGTAAATAATGATAATGAAAATATCACGTCAGAATCTATGGACTATGCTTAAATAAGTGATCAGAGGCACACTAAGTTCCTTCTTGACCTGCATAAGTGGGGAATGTCTAAGTGTGGTGGTGGCAGAAACCCGATTCAAATCGCTATAGGGGCACTCGCTCTCTCTTATCCAGGTAACAGCTCCAGAGCCCCTTATTTGAAGTTTCCCATAAGTAAGGACACTGGATTTATTCCACATATGTGGAATTCTTTAAGCCATCCACAGATTATCCTCAGCCATCGTGACTGTTTCCTGAGAAACAAAAATAGCTGTTTTCAGGGGTTATTAATGCTGGCTCTGAGTTCGGTGCTATTCCAGGAAACTAAAAACGCCTCTATAAGTAAAAGTGGGGCCTTATGAAAGTCAGGTGATACAACCTGAGTCTTTCTTATAATGGATCCAGAATGACCACAAGCCACAAATCCTGGTCAGTCCCAGTCCCAAAATGCACAGGCAGAACAGATACCTTTCTAACCGGCAGACCACTGGTTACTGATCCATGTAGCGATGGCTCTTAGAGTAAAAAGAGTCAAGTGGAAGCCCCTAGAATTGCCCACTTCCCGTCACCTCTCAGCAAAATGGTAAACCAAAAGCAATGCTTCATTACTGGGGGAGTTGCAGAGATTTATGTCACCTTAAAAGATGTGAAAGATGCAGAGTAGTGATTTTTATTGCATTTTCGCTTAACTCACCTATGAGCCTTATGCAAAATGAGATGGGTCTCGCAGAATGACTCTGGATTATCATAAACTTAATGCCCACAGCTACAATTTTCTGGATGTTGCGTCTTTACTAGAGGAAATGCTTCTTTGTAATGATATGTATAATCCTCTAATGAGCAAAGGTAAAGATAAACAGATTACTTTTTTTTTTTTTGACAGAATCTCGCTCAGTTGCCCAGGCTGGACGTCCAGGCTGGAGTGCAGTGGCGCGATCTCAGCTCACTGCAAGCTCTGCCTCCCGGGTTCATGCCATTCTTCTGCCTCAGCCTCCCGAGTAGCTGGGACTACAGGTGCCCGCTATCACACCTGGCTGCTTATTTTATTTTATCTTATTTTATTATTATTATACTTTAACTTCTGGGGTACATGTGCACAATGTGCAGGTTTGTTACATATGTATACATGTGCCACATTGGTGTGCTGCACCCGTTAACTCGTCATTTACTTTAGGTATATCTCCTAATGCTATCCCTCCCCCTCCCCCCACAACACGACAGGCCCTGATGTGTGACATTCCGCACCCTGTGTCCAAGTGTTGGTCTCATTGTTCAATTCCCACCTTTGAGTGAGAACATGCGGTGTTTGGTTTTCTGTCCTTGCGATAGTTTTCTCAGAATGGTGGTTTCTAACTTCATCTATGTCCCTGCAAAGGACATGAACTCACCTTTTTTTATGGCTGCATAGTATTCCATGGTGTATATGTGCCACATTTTCTTAATCCAGTCTATCATTGTTGGACATTTGGGTTGGTTCCAAGTCTTTGCTATTGTGAATAGTGCCGCAATAAACATACGTGTGCATGTGTCTTTACAGCAGCATGATTTATAAATCCTTTGGGTATATGCCCAGTAATGGGATGGCTGGGTCAAATGGTATTTCTAGTTCTAGATCCTTGAGGAATCGCCACACTGTCTTCCACAATGGTTGAACTAGTTTACAGTCCCACCAACAGTGTAAAAGCATTCCTGTTTCTCCACATCCTCTCCAGCACCTGTTGTTTCCTGACTTTTTAATGATCGCCATTCTAACTGGTGTGAGATGGTATCTCATTGTGGTTTTGATTTGCATTTCTGATGAGAAATGCATGAGCATTCAGTGACGATGAGCATTTTTTCATGCGTCTGTTGGCTGCATAAATATCTTCTTTTGAGAAGTGTCTGTTCATATCCTTTGCCCACTTTTTGATGGGGTTGTTTGATTTTTTCTTGTAAATTTGTTTAAGTTCTTTGTAGATTCTGTATATTAGCCCTTTGTCAGATGGGTAGATTGCGAACATTTTCTCCCATTCTGTGGGTTGCCTGTTCACTCTGTTAGTTTCTTTTGCTGTGCAGAAGCTCTTTAGTTTAATTAGATCCCATTTGTCAATTTTGGCTTTTGTTGCCATTGCTTTTGGTGTTTTAGTCATGAAGTCCTTGCCCATGCCTATATCCTGAATGGTATTGCCTAGGTTTTCTTCTAGAGTTTTTATGGTTTTAGGTCTAACATTTAAGTCTTTAATCCATCTTGAATTAATTTTTGTATAAGGTGTAAGGAAGGGATCCAGTTTCAGCTTTCCACATATGGCTAGCCAGTTTTCCCAGCACCATTTATTAAATAGGGAAGCCTTCCCCCATTTCTTGTTTTTGTCAGGTTTGTCAAAGATCAGATGGTTGTAGATGTGTGGGATTATTTCCAAGGACTCTATTCTGTTCCATTGGTCTATATCTCTGTTTTGGTACCAGGACCATGCTGTTTTGATTACTGCGGCCTTGTAGTATAGTTTGAAGTCAGGTAGTGTGATGCCTCCAGCCTTGTTCTTTTGGCTTAGGATTGTCTTGGCTATGCAGGCTCTTTTTTGGTTCCATATGAACTTTAAAGTAGTTTTTTCCAGTTCTATGAAGAAAGTCATTGGTAGCTTGATGGGGATGGCATTAAATCTATAATTACCTTGGGCAGTATGGCCATTTTCACAATATTGATTCTTCTTATCCATGAGCATGGAAAGTTCTTCCATTTGTTTGTGTCCTCTTTTATTTCGTTGAGCAGTTGTTTGTAGTTCTCCTTGAAGAGGTCCTTCACATCCCTTGTAGGTTGGATTCCCAGGTATTTTATTCTCTTTGAATACAATTGTGAATGGGAGTTCACTCATGATTTGGCTCTCTGTTTCTGTGTTATTGGTGTATAGGAATGCTTGTGATTTTTGCACATTGATTTTGTATCCTAAGACTTTGCTGAAGTTGCTTATCAGCTTAAGGAGATTTTGGGCTGAGACGATGGGGTTTTCTAAATATACAATCTTGTCATCTGCAAACAGGGACAACTTGACTTCCTCTTTTCCTACTTGAATACCCTTTATTTCTTTCTCTTGCCTGATTGCCCTGGCCAGAACTTCCAACACTATGTTGAGTAGGAGTGGTGAGAGAGGGCACCCCTGTCTTGTGCCAGTTTTGAAAGAGAATGCTTCCAGTTTTTGCCCATTCGGTATGATATTGGCTGTGGGTTTGTCATAAATAGCTCTTATTATTTTGAGATACGTCCCATCAATACCTAGTTTATTGAGAGTTTTTATCATGAAGGATTGTTGAATTTTGTTGAAGGCCTTTTCTGCATCTATAGAGATAATCATGTGGTTTTTGTCTTTGGTTCTGTTTATGTGATGGATTATGTTTATTGATTTGTGTATGTTGAACCAGCCTTGCATCCCAGGGATGAAGCCAACTTGATCGTAGTGGATAAGCTTTTTGATGTGGTGCTTGATTTGGTTTGCCAGTATTTTATTGAGGATTTTTGCATCGATGTTCATCAGGGATATTGGTCTAAAATTCTCCGTTTTGTGTGTGTGTCTCTGCCAGGCTTTGGTAACAGGATGAGGTTGACCTCATAAAATGAATTAGGGAGGACTCCCTCTTTTTCTATTGATTGAAATAGTTTCAGAAGGAATGGTACCAACTCCTCTTTGTACCTCTAGTAGAATTCGGCTGTGAATCCATCTGGTCCTGGACTTTTTTTGGTTGGTAGGCTCACACCCGCTATTGTTTTTTTTGTATTTTTAGTAGAGATGGGGTTTCACCATGTTAGCCAGGCTGACCTCATGATCTGCCCGCCTCAGCCTCCCAAAGTGCTGGGATTATAGGCATAAGCCACCGTGCCCAGCCCAGATCAGTTTCATTTGGATGGAGCAGCAGTACACACTCACTGCCTCATATCAGGATTCTATCAGTTCTGGTCTCTGTTATATTTAAATCACATTAATTTTCTTGATTTCCCATACAGCATTATGGTTTGTCTGTGTGATTACTGGGCATAGAAATAAGAAACATGAATTGTCCCAGAAGCTTTTGTAAAACAGAGGGATGGAAACAAACCCTGAGAAAGTTCTTAGGCCTTAGTGAAGTTTCTAGGAGTAGAGTGGTTGGAACATGTGGGATATTTCCATTAAAGTGGGAGAGAAGATTGGTGAGAGATGATGTCAGTGAAAATGGAAGAATAGGAACCTCTAGGGCCCATCCCTCCCATGGCACTGAGAAAAAAAAAAGATTTGCAACAACCAAGTAAATGTTTAGCCAGGAGAAAGGCCACTGAAAAAGGGTAAGAGAGCTTCATGGCATTTTAGCTTACCGTGACCCCAGCAACCCCTTCCCTGCTGCAGTGGCCCTCTTGAAGACTGCAGTCTGCACTTCCAGCATGGTTACCTGATTCAAGGGGAGAAGCGTGGGCGTTTTCCCTGAGGAATGTGTCTGTCTGTTTTGACCTGACTGTGCTTTCTCCAGAGGACTGTGGCAAGGGCTTCCTTTTTTAAGCCTAATCTGTACCTTGTCAGACTGAAACAGCTATGTGGTTCTCAAAAGCAATAAAAGCCAAAAGTTGGGCAAACAATAGGCATGCAAAAAGCTGAGTGGGAATACTTAGGAAGTATGATTTGTTGGGGGTGGAATAGAGGTTTTGAAAAGCTACTGCATGTATGGGGAACTTAAAAAGCCGCACACATGCTCAGGGAAGGACACACACTCAGAAAGGAACTGAGAAAGTTTATGGCTGGTAAACTTTCACCTTTGGCTGGTCTTGAGGTAACCACAGACAGGAAGTGAAGGCTAAGGCAGAGTTGTAAATGGCCTGGCTAAGTGGAGTGTCTTAACACAGAGCCAATCTGAAAATACCTGGGAACATTTCCATTCCTTTCCTTTTCTTCCTTCTTCATTTTATTTCTCCTTTTTCATATTGTAATATTAAAAATATCAAATTTCCAACAAATTCATTCAAAAGTCACTTGACAATGGATATTTTAAAATTCAAAAATATTCAACTTCAATAAGAAATATTATGAAATATGCAAAGAAGCCAGAAATTATGATGCCTTTACAGGGAAAAACTATAAATTAACGGAAACTCTCCCTGAGGGAGCGAAGACACTGGATTTACTAGACAAAAACTTTAAGTCTACTGTCTAAAACATGCTCAATGATCTAAAGAACACCATGGACAAAGAGCAAAAAGCACAAGAAGAATAATATCTCAATATGTAAAAAATTACAAGAAGAGAATGAAATTATGAAAATGAATCACATATAAATTCTGGAATTGAAAAGTATTACTAAAATGAAAAACGTATGAGGGGGTTCAATAGCAGATTTTAGCTGACAGAAAAAAGAGTCAATAGGTCAAATGAAACAATCTAGTCTGAGAAGCAGAAAAAAGAAAGAAATGGAGAAAAATGAAGAGGGCCTAAAAGACTCAAGCAACAACATCAAGTGCATCAACCAAGGCATAATGGAAGTCCCAGAGGCAAGGAGAGAGAGAACGGGGCAGGGAGAATATTTGATGAGATAATAGTTAAAACCTCCCAATTTGACAAATACATGAACCTATTCATTCAAGAAGCTCAATGAACTTCTTTTTGGTTAGAATAAACTCAAAGAGATGCACAAGAAGACACCTTATAGTCAAAGTCAAAAGCCAAAATCAAATCTCGAAAGCAGCAAGATAACAGACTCAGCACATACAAAGGACTGTCAGTTATATTAACAGCAGAAACCATGGGACCAGAGGCAGTGGAATGACACATTTAAAGTGCTGAAAGAAAAAAATGCTTTTCATATTCAGCAAAAATATTCTTCAAGACTGAAGGACAGATTAAGGCATTCTCTGCTAAACAAAAGCTGAGGAAGTTCCTTCCTGACAGGCTTGCCCTATAAGAAATGCTAAAGGGGGCCGGGCGCAGTGGCTCATGCCTGTAATCCCAGCACTTTGGGAGGCTGAGGTGGGCGGATCACGGGGTCAGGAGATTGAGACCATCCCAGCTAACATGGTGAAACCCTGTCTCTACTAAAAATACAAAAAAATTAGCCGGGCGTGGTGGCGGGAGCCTGTAGTCCCAGCTACTCGGGAGGCTGAGGCAGGAGAATGATGTGAACCTGGAGGTGGAGCTTGCAGTGAGCTGAGATCACACCACTGCGCTCCAGCCTGGGCGACAGAGCAAGACTCCATCTCAAAAAAAAGAAATGCTAAAGGGAACCGTTCAGATTCAGACAGGAGGCAATAACTTGCCATAGGAAGAAATAAAATACAAGTGTAAAGGTAACTACATAGGTAAATACTAAAACCAGTATTATTGTATTTTTGGTTTACAGCTTACTTTTTTCCTTGATGAGTTAAAAGACAAAGGCATGAAACAATAATTATAAATCTATGTTAATGGGCACACAAAGTCTAAAGATGTGATTTGTGACGATATAGCAATCTGAAAAGGGAGAAATGGAGCTGCATGAAAGAGTTTTGTATAGTACCGAGTCTGTAAATTGATATTAATTCAAACTACATTGTTACTAATTTAAGATCCTAATTGTAACACCCAAGGTAACAACTAAGAAAGCAACTATTAATAAAAATGTACTTTTCTGAAGAGGAAATGAATAAGGAATAAAGATCATACACTATAAAAAATCAATTAAACACAAAGAAGCTAGCATGGAAGAATTAAAGAATAAGAAAGATACGAGACTTACAGAAAACCAAAGCAAAACGGCAAGAAGTAAAGTGAGTGACAAACCATTGAATCTTGTTCTGCCCACCATGGAGAAAAAGGCACAATGCTGAGTGGTTCTCTTTCAATTTTGTAGGCAACACGTACCACATTTGAGCGTGCTGCTCTGTAAACCTGCTGAGTAAGCTCAGCATAAGAAAAGACTGTAATGGCTCTAAGCTCTTCTTCAAGCTGTTCTAATCTTTGAGAAAATAAACCGACAAGCACAATGGCACTGGGAGTCTGTGGCAAGTGAGGCTGTGGTATGAAGGACAGGCAAGTCTCAATAGGAGACTGGCAGAGCAGATGCCTGAGGTTTTAGAGGAAGGCTATGCCCTTTTGTGGTTACAACAATTCTTTTCCACTTGCAGGGCAGCTCCTGACTTGCTACTTGTCCCTTGCAGAGATGGAATGTCTAACCGTGGGATACCAAGTGACAACATGGTAGATGCCCATTGTGAACTGGATATTACACAATGAATTGAATTATAAAGTTGTGCCACATTGCATTCATTATTAAAGAAAACAGTATGTGTGGGATGGAGCTAAGCAGGTGCCAGAGGGCACAGGTAAGTGGCATGCATGCACAGGGATTCAGATACCACGTTACCTTTTCCTATTGCCTCATAACCTCTCCTTCAAGCTGAATCTATGGCCTCATTGGGAGTTTCCTGTATAAAATGAACAGAATAGGGAAAACAGTGGGCCTAGTTAATGGATGTATCTTGTGAAAAAGTAAGGACCTTGGTATGAAATGGGGTCTTTGATGAAACAGACAAGCCATCTAAATAGTATGTATTTACATATGGGTAGGCAGGGTTAAGGGAAATAAGGAATAGTTAGCACCCCAGGGCTAACAACACTGAGAAACGGATAACATGCTAGGCCTGAAACCGCAAGCAAAGGTGATGACTTTGAGAACCTGAGGAGGCCTGCATTAGACAGAGAAGGCTGCCTCCCTCCAAAAGATCTGTGGATTTGGGGAAAGTATACCATCATTGCCAAGTTGTAATTTTGGAGAAAGAAAGTTCAAAGGATGAATACACTGACCTCTCTCACCCCTCAAGCTCAAGTTTTCTCCTGATGCCTTTAAAAGGGATTCAAGGGATTTGGAGCTGACCGAAGAAGAAGACTTGACCACGAGAAGCAGTAACACCCAGCAAGCTTCACTGGGCAGCGCTTGGATAGGATCACATAAAGGATCCCTCACAGCAGGAGACTAGCCAGTGGCTTATGGGAGGGACACACCCAGAAGGGGAGGAGAGCAAGGGAACTCCTGGGGAGAGGAGGATTAGAGGAGGAGCTTACGTGTCCAGGTGATGCCACTCAGAAGCATGATAGTGGGGGCTCAAGTCGGAGAGCTCTGAAGGGCCGAAGTGGCTTGGGGAGCTTGCAACCATGAGGCTTTATCTTATAATGGCCAACAGATGCAGGATGAGGTGTCCTGGAGTATGCAGAGCACATGGGCTCTAACTAGCCCCAGATCTGCTTAGTTGGGCTATTTTTAAAATAATTGGATGTCCAACAACTTGAATTTGACACCTGTGGGCTTTTGAGGTAATAGATCTCAGCCTGCAGTGAAGAAATAAACAACCCAGGAGTCTATTTGCAGAGGCCATAATTGGCTCATTTCAATAACTGCCACCAGCTGGCCAAATCCAACTGGAAGCCAGAGAGCAAGGGAGTCTGTCTGATGCACTTGATAAAGGTCTGGCTCCTGGAACATGGAGTAAGGTGGGCATGGACCTGGACAGGCAAAGGGGAATGCACAGCAGAGGTCTTCCTGGTGTGATACCAGCAAGAAGTAGTGCCAACAGCTACTGTATCCTGATTCTACCCATCAACACAAAAATAAACTGTGAATTTGATAGAGCGGGATGAATTTGGGGTGATACGTCTGGTTTTCCACTGACTCAAGTTTCAAATTTATGCTGATTCATGTGTAGTGGATAACAGGCTGGTCAAGAACTGGAAAAGAACAGGACTGTAATAGTAGGGCAAGTAGGTCTGGGAGGAGGTGTGGGGCACACTTCTCAGATATCGGTGTCCTCACTGGCTTCTGTCTGTGGCTTCCTCACTTTAGCATGAAGCTTCTCCCTCAACTACTATAAGCAGGGGAGGAGAATGGTGGAAAGTTTCATGCTAGAATTCAATGCACACGTCACTGCCACTCACAACTTCTTGGCCTGAACTGGTTACACATTCCTGCCTGTGGGTGAGAAAGTATAATCAGAGACACTGGATACTGGTGACTCCAAGCAGCCTGTAGTGCATGCTCATATATACCATTTTATTCAGTACCATGATGATAATTTCTCAAAATATTATCTCAAAGTATTTCTCAAAATATTAATTTCTCAAAATATTAAAAGTAGTATTTAAGAATATAAGTTCTATAAGGCTGAAGGCATCACACTACCTGACTTCAAACTATACTACAAGGCTACAGTAACCAAAACAGCATGGTACTGGTACAAGAACAGACACATAGACCAGTGGAACAGAAAAGAGATTTCAGAAATAAGATGCACATATACAACCATCTGATATTTAACAAACCTGACAAAAACAAGCAATGGGGAAAGGGCTCCCTATTTAATAAATGGTGCTGGGAAGACTGGCTAGTCATATGCAGAAAATTGAAACTGCACCACTTTCTTACACCTTATACAAAAATTAATTAATGTCAAAAGCAATTGCAACAAAAGCAAAAATCGACAAATGGGATCTAATTAAACTAAAGAGCCTCTGCACAGCAAAAGAAACTATCATAACCTACAGAATGAGAGAATGTTTTTGCAATCTATCCAACAAAGTTCTAATATCCAGAATCTACTAGGAACTTAAACAAATTTACAAGAAAAACACAAACAATCCCATTAAAAAGTGGGGAAAAGACATGAACAGGCACTTCTCAAAAGAAGACATTTATGCAGCCAACAAACATATGAAAAAAAGCTCAACGTCACTGATCATTAGAGAAATGCAAGTCAAAACCACAACAAGATACTATCTTATACCAGTCAGAATGGTGAGTATTAAAAAGTCCAGAAACAACAGATGCTGGCAAAGCTGTGGAGAAATAGGAACACTTTTACATTGTTAGTGGGAGTGTAAATTAGTTCAGCCATTGTGGAAGGCAGTGTTGCAATTTCTCAAAGACCTAGAACCAGAAATCCCATTTGGCCCAGCAATCCCATTACTGGGTATATACCCAAAGGAATATAAATCATTCTATTATGAAGATACATGCACACGTATATTCACTACAGCACTATTCACAAAAGACATGGAATCAACCCAAATGTCCATCAGTGATAGATTGGGTAAAGAAAATGTGGTACATATACATCATGGAATACTATGCAGCCATAAAAAGGAAGGAGATCATGTCCTTTGCAGGGACATGGATGGAGCTAGAAGGCTTTATCCTCAGCAAACTAACACAGGAACAGAAAACCAAACACTGCATGTTCTCACGTATAAGTGGGAGCTGAACAATGAGAACACATGGACACAGAGAGGGGGACAACACACACTGGGGCCTGTTGGGGTGAAGTGTGAGGAGGGAGAGCATCAGGAAAAATAGCTAATGGTTGCTGGGCTTAACACCTAGGTGATGGGTTGATAGGTGCAGCAAACCACGATGGCACACGTTTACCTATGTAACAAACTTGCATGTCCTGCACATGTAACCTGGAACTTAAATTTAAAATAAATGAATAAATAAATAAGAAACTAGCAAAAAAAAAAAATACAAGTTCTAGAACCACATTATTTGGGTTCAACTCAAGTTTCTATTCCTTTCTAGTTGGGTGCCTTGAATAAGTTCCCTAACACCTTTGAGCTTCAGTTACCTCATTTATAAAATGAGGATAATAAGAAAACTGACCTCATAAGGTTTGTTGTGAAAATTAAATTACTTAGCATATTCAAAGTAATTAGCACCATACTTACCATGCAATACTTTTCCAATAATTTTTGGTGTTATTTCTTGAACTGATTTCATGAATGGAGACATGTTGGCTGATAGATGGGAGAGTTGGAATCGAATTTGAAAATATATTATCATTTGAATATGGGCTCCTCTCTTTTCAGACATTTACATGAAAACTTTCCTAAGTAACATCAGTCCAATATATCTAATCATGAGGGTTTTATGCCTTTTTTAGCCTGTGTTTTAGTTGGATGCTTTCAACCCAATTACTTATGCTCTAGACCTGGAAACAATTTTTCTAAACATTTAGAATTTGTCAAAACTGGATAGGGATAGGATCTTAACAGCTCTTAACAGTTTAATAGATCTAAACTCAGAAAATTTGGAATTCAAATTGGTCTTTTAGCCTGCTGATATAGTTTGGCTGTGTTCCCACCCAAATCTCATCTTAAATTGTAGTTCTCATAATCCCCACGTCATGGGAGGGAACCTGTAGGAGGTAATTGAATCATGGGGGCGGTTACCTTCAGGCTGTTCTCGTGATAGTGAGTGATAGTGATTCTCACGAGATCTGATGTTTTTTAAAGGGGCTTTTCCCATTTTGCTCGGCAGTTCTCCTTCCTGCCACCATGTGAAGAAGGATGTGTTTGCTTCCCCTTCTGCCATGATTGTAAGATACTTGAGGCCTCCCCAGCCCTGTGGAACTGTGAGTTAATTAAACCTCTTTCTTTTATAAATTACTCCGTCTTGGGCATTTCTTCACAGGAGCATGAGAACGGACTAATACACCTCCTTCCTTCCTTCCTTCCTTCCTTCCTACCTTCCTTCCTTCCTACCTTCCTTCCTTCCTTCCTTCCTACCTTCCTTCCTTCCTTCCTTCCTTCTTCCCACCTTCCTCCCTTCCTTCCTTTCACTTTCCATCTTTCTTACCACACAGGGAACCCTGCAAATGAGGCCTTATGCAAGGTGACAACCACTGTGACACACCTGTTCTGAGTGTTTGTCAGCAATGAGAAGGAATGACTCTGGACAGACTTGAGAGGCTTTTGTTCTCATGGGACTCCACAAAGATTGGTCTCCATAGTTCTCATTTTTAAAAAATGAATTAGTTTAAAGTTCACTGACTTGTCTTCATGGTAATATGTTAATGGGGATTTACTTGGAATTCATTCTAGATTCCCCACCTCCCCCATTCCTTCGAATACTTTATTATTGAAAGACATTTGTGCCTTGGGTGTCTGAGTAAACCCTTATCAAAGGGGCTAAGCTTTATTCCTGACCACACTGCAGAGCAGAAATAATCTCCATGTATTAATCACCTCAAGATCTTTAGGTGTAAAGTTTCATTTGAAGGATTTTGCAGGGATATTATATGCATGGTGAATGTTCCACTGGTAATTCTGGCCTAATTTTAGGGTTTTACAGTTGCTTTTGGTTATGCATGTTACTAAATTTACAAAATCTTTCATCTATTGCAAAATCCCAGGATGATTCTCACACAGAGGAAACTTTCTGACAAGTAAACATTTGAATGTGAGCCACTGGTAAGGCAATACTTCAAAAGAAAATCATTTGTCGTAGCTGACTTTTTTTTTTTTTTTTGGTCAAGATCAAACTGAGAAAATCTCCTTGAAGCTTGTAGGCTGGTCTGTGTCATGCAGCCTGGGTGTTGGAGGGCCTCCACCACCCCCCGCATCTGTGTTTACTGTCATTTCACCACCACTGGGTCAAATTGTAAGGAAAAATAAAACTTACATTAAGTAATGTTGTAAATACAAATAAAATCCATATAAAAATATGGACAGTGGGGATAAAAAGGTAAATATAAAGCAATGTAGGCAACTTCCCATTCATTGCAGCAAATAAGACCCATAACAGCATTTAGAAAATTTGCTAGATAGGAAAAGCAATTGCAAATTTCATGGGAATATTCAGGAGGAATAGTGGGAAGGCCAAACAAAAGCACTGTAGAAAAGAGGAGAGAGAGACACACACAGGAGACACCAAGATGAGTAGAATCTATGCTTGGCATTCAAGGAGCCCAGGGCCATCACTCAGCGGCTGCTAGACACACGCAGAGACAGGCCAAGGACACTAATCTCTGAGATTTGGTTGACTATGTTTAGACCTGGTCTCAGTTGTTATTTTAGTGGTTTATATGTCTTAAAATAGCAGTCTTTTAACTTTCCTCTTTAAATGTCAAGCTTGACTACTGCAGCTTCATTTCAAGGATCCCTTGTTGGGTGAATCAAAAATGTTTTAAAAAAGTCTTTCCCTTTTGAGCTGATTTTGTGAATATTCTCACATACTCTTGGGATTTTGGTTTCACCCCAGTTTTCTAATGACAGACATGTTGTAGGATTCTGCCCACACCCCCAGTGTGGGCTGACCTCTACAACCTGAACAATGACTCATCTAGGCTTTTCAAATATTAAACTAGCTTGTAAATCCTCTCTATGCCTAATGCCTCCACCAGCTCCTTGTCTGTGCCTTCACAAGTCATTAAAACTGTAAAGACATGAATTCTTGTTTTCTATGACCTGAAAGGATTCTACAGCACTAGCTATAGTTTCTAGCTATAACTTTCCACGCTGGCAAAGAGGTAGACAGTAACCATTTTATGAAAGGGGAACTAATGCTTTACAAAATGATTACTGTTTACTTCTTTGTCAGTTAACAGTATTATTAGGATATGTATTCAGGTAAAAATCTGCACTCCAAGCCCAGCCAGTCCATATTTGGCCCATCAATATTGCTGGAGCAAGCTTTTAACATGGCAACATATCCCACTGAAACACATGCATGGACTCTATTTAGGGAAGTTTTGTGAACTTCACCTGGACTCTCCCAGTTGCTAATAATATTGTCAGCTCATGGTGAATCACCCAGTACTCTCTCTCCCCTTGCTTGGCCCTCCCTTGGTCCTCCCCTCCCTGCCTTTACACACTGGCTGCTTATTTGTGTGCTGGGCAGACAAAGTCAAAAAGGACAGACACAGTCCCTGCCTTTAAAAAGCGATGGGAAGAGAAAGGGAGCATTGCCACACTGAGGAAAGGAAGCATTGCCACACCCACCATGGGGCCCACGCTGGGTGGGGAAAAGTTCAGGAGAGCTTCCTGGAAGAGGTGACATTGGAGTAGCATTTAGAAGGATGCACTAATCCCATGAATAAAGCCAAGAAAGGGCATTTCTGGACAAGAGAATGGCATGGAAGTGCAAAGCACTAAGAGGAAGGAAAGGACAAAAGATTACAAACTGCAAAGAGCTGCATGAGCTATTTTGCCTATGGCAGCTCCACTGGGTGGGCATTCACCTACCGTTGCTTGGGATATGGGGTTTGGTTTTTGCGTGGTGATGCGTGCCAGAGATGAAAGGGGTTTCCAGGGTCTTTGCTCTTAGTCTCGGGTGAACTGCCTTGTATCAGTACTGTCCTCTCTTCATAAGCATTCCTTGGGCTGAAACAACCTTGGCTTCTGGTCTCAGGAGCCTTTTCTCCTGGTGCAAAAGCCCCAGGCTACCTGGTTACAGCATCAGGATTAGATTGGCTGGTTTTACTGCAGCAGTGCTTAAGTAAATCCGAATGTAGGAAAATCACTGTTTTAAAGCAATGTAGTTTGATCAGTTAGAACGACACTGATCTTTTCCTTGTATGAACTTAGAATCTGATCTGTAAGATTCTATTCATTTTATGCATCTTTTTCAGGGTCAGTATTCACTCCTTCAACAGCTCATGAGCATTATAAAGAAAAATAACCTTCTTTTAGATGCTTTAACACAGTTTCCCAAACTTGCAACATAAGAATCACTTGGGATGCTTGTTACTTAGACAGATGACTGGGGCTTTCCCCTGGGAATTCTGATTTAATAGGTCTGGGGGTGGGCTCTGGGAACTTTTATTTATTTTTTAATAAGTATGCTAGGCAGTTCTTATTGTCAGGCTAGTTTGGAAAACACAGTGCACTTAGCCCGTGTTTTACTGGATATTAGGCAATAAACAAATACGTCTACTTACACCAGGCAAAGTATGCATGATGACATTGATGATGTACATTTCGCAGGTCAGGAAACTAAAGCTCAAAGGTAAGTGACTCACATAAGAGCACACTACTGGTAACAGAATGACCTGTCATCAAATCCAGAGCCTCTGGGTTCTGTTACATTACAGTCCAAATGATGGACGTTAAAATTGTAAGATCTGATTGAGGTTTATGTCAGGACTTGTAAAATTAACTTTTTTAAATTGGGCTTTATTTTAGGTTGTACTAGTTCAGTTATACATGGCTTTTAATGTAGTGATTTTATGGGGGAAAAGTTGTTTAGAGCAAGCCAAGCTAAATTTAGTTTGTTGCCATTTGAATTTATTAATTCAGAGATAGCTAACTCAGTTAAAATAGTTTTCTTTTCAAAGAAGGCTATATATTGTTTAAAACGTTAAGAGACCTAAGGTATGTAAATGTGTTTGTTTCTTTTCAAAATAAAGCAAACCAAAAGTAAATAAGTAAAACAAATCAGCTCACAAAAGTATATACTAGAGAATTATTTATGTCATTCAAATTAGTTTCTGTCCATAGTTATATTCTACAAACCCATTCTTTCTGATATTTGCTAATTAATACCAAATATTTAATTTACCTTAATTCATGATTCCTTCAGAACCAAATTGAAATTTGCCTTGGAGTTATTTATCAGAAAACAATTTGCTTAGCATATTGGTAGCATAAAGAGCTTCAAAAAAGATGTATAGATATATATATATATTTTCAATTTCTTCTGTAGAAACAGTTGCATGGCAAGTCAAAACACTGAGACAATGGGGACTGCAGCAGAGAAAGAGTTTAATAATCTTAGGACAGCTGAACAAAGAGATGGGAGGAAACCTCAAATCCACTTCTCCAAGGAATTCGGGGCTAGGGATTTTAAGGAGTTTGGAATGGACCAAGGTGTGGGGATTGTTGACTGGTCAAAGAGAGCAGGGTGAAGTCATGGGATGTGGGGATTGTTGACTGGTCAAAGAGAGCAGGGTGAAGTTATGGGATGAGGGGATGAAGAAACTGCCTTCTCATGCTGATTTGGTTCCTCATGGGGATTTTCACTCTGGTTGGCATCAGCAATTCCCAGTGGAATTCAGGGTCTGAAGAACATCTTAAGTAAATCTGAAGCAAAAGCCTTATGATTCCAATGTCAGACACGATTCCTATATAGGAACAATGAGGATGTAAATGGTCAGCATTGAGTGACCTTTAGCTACAACAAAGTGGACCAAAGTGCAGCCCGATGATGATTAATTATAATTATATTTCTGTCCAGAACCCAGTACGTAATTCTTGTTAACCCTGTGAGAACAATTTCACAAATAGTTGATTACAAATTGCTCTTTAGTGAAGACCCTGCAGAGCCTCTGCTTAGCAGCTGATGCTACGTACTTAAATATATTAAAATGACTTTTACAGTAAATAAAGGAATTATTTAACATATTACATGACACTTTATGATGTATTCACTGTGACTTATTATATGTATTTCTCTCTGATTAATTCAATGTAGAATAGTTTCACTAAGCTCTTCAGTAGAAGAGATCGCTTCCTAAACATGCAGCATGTTTCAGTCATGTGTGAAGCAGCTTTGGCTTTTTTAGATTAATTAGGGAAAGATGTGATTACAATAGTCATAGTTGTAGCTGCATTTATGCATGTACATAAATGCATTTACTCAGTTATTAACCCAATAAGCAGTTATTTAGTAGATTCTTTGCTAGGCCCTTGGGAGACAGAGAGAAGCAAGTTGCTGACCTTACATTCCAGGAGCTCAAAGTCTTCTAGCAGAGCCAGACAGGAACCCCACCATCACTCCACAGTGGGAAACCTCTGTGATGCGTATGCCCAGGATGCTCTCAGATCAGAGAGAAAAGTCGCTCACTCAGCTCAGAAGAGTTCAAGAAGGCTTTCAGGGGAAATTATGTTTTGACAAGTAAATCAAATGTTTACTAAAAATAGAAACTTCAAAAATTATTATTCATGATGTTTTCATAATTCTCTAGTTTGAAGACACAATACTGGATTGGTGGCACAATATTCATTTAGATGTGAGGCACTGGTCTGGTTGAAAAGTCAGTTGAATTTTATTATATTTTGTATTTTTTGTCCCTCTTAGAATTATTTAAATTTTTAAGTAGTTTTTTTATAGC
The DNA here is from genome assembly GCF_000001405.40 of Homo sapiens. Classification (NCBI taxonomy): domain Eukaryota; kingdom Metazoa; phylum Chordata; class Mammalia; order Primates; family Hominidae; genus Homo; species Homo sapiens. Next base: position 839,737 of record NC_000006.12, read on the forward strand.
TGTTTTTAACTTTACAGCAAAATTTAGTGAAAGTATGGAGAGTTCCCATAAAAAAAACAGGGAAATATCTGAACAGCAGCTTCACCAAAGAAGATACACAAATGACAAGTAAGTATAGGAAAAGATGATCTACTTCATATGCCATTAGGGAATTTTAATTTAAAACAACAAGAGATACACCTACACAGCTATTATAAGGTCCAAAACACTGACAATATCAAATGTTGGCAAGGATGTGGAGCAACGGGAACTCTCATTTATGGCCCATGGGAATGCAAAATGGTACAACCACTTTGCAAAATAGTTTAGTGGTTTCTAACAAAACTGAAAGTACCCTGACTATATGATCCAGCAATCATGCTCCTTGTCATTTACCCAAATGAGTTGAAAACTTGTGTCCATGCAAAAACCCACATGTGGATGTTTATAGCTGCCCTTTATGCATAATTTTCCAAATTTGGAAGCAGTCAATATGTCCTCCAGCAGGTGAACAGATTAATAAACTGTGGCACCACCAGACAATGGAATATTATTCAGCACTAAAATCAAAATTAACTATCATGTCATGAAAAGATATGGAGGAATCAGCACATTGCTAAGTGAAATAACCCAATCTGAAAAGGCTCCAAACTGTATGATTTCAACTATGTGACATTCTGGAAAAGGCAAAACTGTGGGGAGAGTAAAAAGATTGGTAGTTTGCTCAGGACTGGGGAGGGAGGAGAAAGGAGGGCTGAACAGGATTACGGGAGATTTTCAGGGCAGTGAAACTGATCTGTATGATAGTATTAATATAATTGTGGATACATTCATTATATATTTGTCTAAACCCATAGAATGCACAACACCAAGAGTGACATCTAATGTACTTTGGGTAACAATGACGTGTCAATGTTGGCTTATGGATTGCGACAAATGCACCACTCTGGAAGATGTTTTATTGACATGCCATGTTGCCCAGGCAGGTAGGTCGAGTCTACGGGAGAAGGTAAGTGGCCGCCGTGGGAAGATTCTAGTCTGCTCAACTCATGGGCCAACTCCCCAACCCATATGACATGTTTTACTGGCATTTCTTTCGAAATTTATTACAGTTACTGCATAACTCAAATTTTTATTTTTCCTTTTTGTAAGCCATTGTTGGTTCTTACGGTGGCATATTGGTTTCATATACTTTAGAAGTCCCAGGGTTATTTAAGAATCACTGTCCTTGATTGTAGGTATTGGTAAAAGCACAATTATGTATTCTAATTAGTTACTCTTGATAGTTACTCCTACTAATGAGAGCTTCTCATTTATCTCAGAATTTCCAAAGTCAAAGTCCTGATTTTTAGTGTCTACCCTCCCAGTGTTTACATGTTTTAACTATAGGATAACTTGGTGATTTTGGACTATTTTCTGTGGCAATTTATTTCAGCTCTGTAAGAAATGAATTTTTGATCATTGATAAGAACTAAAATCTAGTCAAACAGTTCTGCTAGTAATCAGTTCGACTTAAAAACAAACTGACAAAAGAACAGGCAAATTCTGGTCTAATCTCTCTGAGCACCATACCGTGGTATGTGCTCTCTTCTTCTTTTAACTTAAAAGATACAGCCCCGAGCAGTTGGGAATGCGATCTAGTTTTGTTGCTTTGCAGGACACCTAGGTACAGTGTCCCGTGTGGTGTTGTCAGAGGTGTTTGAAGCAGAGGAACTCCATCTTGAGTAGCAGCTGTGTAAAATGAGGCCGAGAGGCACTGGGCTGCCTTCTTAGGAGGTCGGGCATTCTTAGTCACAGGATGAGATAGGAGGTCGGCACAAGATACAGGTCACAAAGACCTTGCTGATACAGCAAGTTGCAGTACAGAAGCCGGCCAAAACCCACCAAAACCAAGGTGGGACCACAGTAACCTCTGGTTGTCCTCATTGCTCATTATATGTTAATTATAATGCGTTAGCACGCTGTTAGTAAAAGACACTCCCAGCAGCACCATGACAGTTTGCAAATGCCATGGCAACGTCAGGAAGTTACCCTATATGGTCTAAAAAAAAAAGGAGGAACTCTCAGTTCTGGGAATTGCCCACCCCTTTCCTGGAAAACTCATGAATAATCCACACCTTGTTTAGTGTATAATGTAGAAGTAACGATCAGTATAAGCAGCTGAGCAGACCATCCCACTCCTCTGCCTATGGAGTAGCCATCCTTTATTGCTTTATTCTCTTAATAAACTTGCTTTCACTTTATGGATTCGCCTCAAATTCTTTCTTGCGTGAGATCTAAGAATCCTCTCTTGGGGTCTGAATTGGGATCCCTTTCCTGTCTCAGTGTGATATTTTGCTGGCGATGAACCTTTACCGGTGGAGGTAAAGTGAAGGGTCCCCCCTCCTGGGTGTCCTGCTTACAGCTTCACATGCAAGTCTGGGGTTTTACATTTGGGAACATATGTTGAGTCATAGAATAAGCCCCTCCACTAAATTTTTCTCGCTGCCACTGACCTCTAAGCCACGCAGGAAATCCCTTTGTAAGCAAATTCCCATCCTCAGCCCTTTGGCTGTTTAGTCTGTGCAGGGCTAGGCCTGGCTTACTTGCTCCTTTGATTGGCAAGCCCCATACTAGAAACAACAAATGGACAGAGTCGCTCTCACCAGAAGCTCCTCGCTCTCACCAGAAGCTCCCCGCCCTCCGGCCTCCCGATCTGAAGACTCTTTCAGCTTTATTTGGACTGGAACTTGATGAGAGGTTCACTAGGCAGGAAACATGCCCCTCCTCCCAAAAATGCCACTGACAGGGACAGAGTTTCTCACAGACTTGGCGGCGAGCTGCAGGGACCTGAGCTACTCCATGGCTTGGGAATTTTAACTCTTGTCAAAGAAGGAAATAGCCTAAAACCATTTGTTTTCACTGAAGATGCAGCTAATTGTTTGATTAAAAACTATGGTTCTAATGGGATGTGAAATCAGTGAGTCAGATGAGCAGTAACTACATGATTCCAGCATATAAACTCCAGAATAAGCAAATCCATAGGGTTAGGGAGCATGTGAGTGGTTGCTGAAAGACTAGGGGGAGGTGAAATGGGAGTAAGTGTTCCTGGGCATGGGGTTGGTTTGGGGGGTGATAAAAATGTTCTGAAATTAGATTGTGGTGATGGTTGCACAGCTTCGTGAATATACTAAACACCTCTGAAATCGTACATTTTATAAAGGTGAATTTTATGATATGTGTTTATATCTCAATTTTATAGAAACCTGTATGAAGGGAATGAAAAATTGTTTTAACAGTGCCCACAAGCCACAGACTGGGAGAAAATATCTGCAAAAGACATATGTGCTAAAGAGCTGGTATCCAAAATACACAAATAACTCCTAAAACTCAACAAAAAGAAGCAAAACAACCCAAAGAGATGTGAAAAAACACATCATATGTATATATATGTATATATATACACACACACCCCCTATATATTTATAAGTATATATATAGATGGCTTATATATACATATATATAGATACCTATATATAGATAGATACCTATATATATATAGATAGATACCTATATATATATAGATAGATACATACATATATATATATATATGTATATATATATATATACAGATGGCAAGTATGCATATGAAAAGATGGTCAACATCATATGTCATTAGGGAATTGCAAATTAAAACAACAATGAGATAGCATGAACTCTCATTGCTGGCGGGAATTTACAGTAAGTAAATGGTCTTACCCCATGTGTTAGATTAGTCCACTTGAGCTGCCATAAAAATGTACCACAGGTTAAGTGGCTTAAACAACAGAAACTTAGGTTCTTACAAGTTCTGGAGGCTGGAAGTCCAAGATGGTGGTGTCAGCAGGGCTGGTTCCCGGTGAGGCCTCCGTCCTCAGCTTGCAGATGGTGCCTTCTTGCTGTGTCCTCATGTGGCCTTTCCTCTGCGTGTGCCTGGGTGGGTGGGGGTCTGGGGGTGGGGGATAGCAGGTGTTTCTTCTTATTTGTATAGACACCAATCCCATGGGCTTAGGGCCTCACTCTAATGACCTCATTTAACCTTACCTCCTTAAAGGCCCTATCTCCAAATACAGTCACATTAGGGGTTATGACTTCAACAGATGAATTGGGCAGGGAGCAGGGACCCAATTCAGTTCATAACATATGATTCAGCATCACACTCCTTGGGATTTCAAATGAGTTGAAAACCTACATCCACACAAAAACCTGCACATAGAGCAGGTTTATTCATAATTGCCACCCAACGTATCCTTCAATAGGTGAATGGAGTGGTAAGGATGTAATTTTATGAACATGGTGGTTTAAATATTTCTGTTCTTAGACAAATGTCTAATTAAATGACATGATATATGACATTAGCTCTCTTCACTTAGCATTTTGCCAATTAAGAAAAAAGACAAGAAGATTTAAATTTCTAATGCCAAGTGTATACCTATTAAATATAATATGAGACAATGAGAAACTCACGTGATTTTTTAAGGCGAAGCACCAACTTCTAGCTCTGGCTTCACTCCCTCAAGCTTCAGGTGTGTGCACCCTCTTGTCTGCACTGAGAGGTATTTCCAGGGAAAATGGCAAAGTCTCATCTGACAGCCCTGTGCCTGGCTCAGGCCTGCAGTTCCTTTGGGAAAGTACCTGTGGTTGTGTGTTAGCAGCAAAGGATATCTTGATAAATCTTTATTTCTCAAACTCTCTATTTTAACCTACCTCTACCCTTATTCTGGCCTAGTCTCCAAATTTTACTTTATTTGTCTTGTATTTCTAGAGGGATGAGGCCACAAAATGAAAATACTGAAAATCTCATGAGCTCTGAGTACCTCCTAGAGGCTGAATAACCATCACCCTATGTTTGGATGCGTTATTATTTTCTTCTTGGCTAAAGATGCTACTGTAATGAATAAAATACACACAACTTTAATACTGCTGTCATTTGCTTAATCATCAGTTAGTAAAAGGACACCATCATGTTGAGCCCACACATTTCTTGAGGTAAAAAGGTTTAGAAAGTTCTAGAATGAGGTATTTCATATCTAACACAGCATTACATACATCCAGAACACTTTAGGTGATGTAAATTAGTTATGTCCACTTCAGTAACAAGTTATAGAAAATCCTGGCCAGAAATGGATTCAGTGAGAGAGAGAGAGAGGAAAATAAGCATTTATAGGCAGAAGGAGCTGAGATAGACAGTCCTGACTTTAAATGAGGTGTAATCCAGCACCTCAGAAGCTGTCATTTTGGCTGCTCTGTCTCCCCAATTGACTTCCCTCTTAGGTCCACTCATGGCTGCCCAGCAGCCAGGAGTCCCAAAGTCTTGCCCCAAAGTTCTGGAGGAAATGAGAGGAATCTTCACAGAAGCTCCTGCACAAGTCCTCTCTCTCACCAGCCTAAATTTAGCCTCTGCAAATAAGTCAAGGGTATGTCCCATTGCAGCCCGGGGCTGGTTAGAGCTTATTAGGACCCACCAATGACAAATGGCTGAGATTGGAAAGGAGTGCTGTTGGTCAGAGTAAGAGGGAGGATGCAGGGAAACACCCCCAGACATCCGCCCCATGTGGTCCTATCATGCTGGCTCATTCAGCATTTTGCAGATGACACTGTGGTTTCACATGTGATTTTACAAAGCAATCAATGGACAAATATTTATCAGCATTCTTTTTGCATGGTGTATCCATCTCATTTTGGGTTAAACAGTTGTGTCTGCTCAGAAAGTCCAAATAATCTGGTTGGATAGATAAGACATAAAATAATGAGTGAAAGAACAATTTTATTAAGAGTAACATTAAGTAATGATAAGATATCGTCATAAGTTGCCTGAAACAATTAGGAGGCTGACATTAATTCATTGTATTAGCTATCTATTGCCACATAACAGATTATTGCTGTCTTAAATTTAGCAGTTTTAAACAACAAACGTTTGTTATCTCCCAGTTTCATGGGTCAGGAAGTTGGGAGCATCTCAGTGGGTGGTTCTGGCTCAAGTCTCTCATGCAGTTGCTGTCAAGCCATTGGCCAAGGCTGCAGTGACATCTGAAGACCCAACTGGGCTTCTGAGTTCAGTCACGTGCTTGCTGGCAGGACCTTGGATTCTTGCTAGCTGCTGGCTGGAGATTTCAGTTCCTCACCATGTGGGTCTCTCCCAGCAGATCAGCAGGCTTACCTCCAAACAAGTGGGGAGGGAAAGAGAGAAAGAGAATCCAATACAGAAGTCACAGTCTTTTTTAATTACATAATCTTAGAAATGACATAGCATCTCTTCTGCTGTGTGTTATTGGTCACCACCTTTAGCACAACGTGGAAGGAAACTACACCCGGCGAGAATATCAGGGGCCAAGGATCGTTGGGATTCATCTCAGAGGCTGCCAACTATATCCCTGTTTGATGTTCTTAGCACAAGGTGAAAACCTTTAACAACTATTGCTTTTGTTACATGGGAGAATCCATTCACCCGTCTAATAACTTGTGGCAACATACCATTGTTATCCTGTGGCTGTTGTACCCTATGAAAGCCTACACAAGGTGATCTGTGGCTCCTCCCAACTCAGGAAGGAAGGCTCTATTGCCCTTTTGTATCCAGTTTAAAATAACACCAGGACATATTGCATGGGGGGCTTTCCTGGTATAGGTAGGAGAGGTCTACTGAGCTGGCACCTTGAGCACTGTTCATGTTTATTTGAGACTGAAAGAGAGATGAACCTGGCTGTAGGAGGGCAGCCGCGGCCAGAGGTTGAGAGACTCGAAGTATCCAGATGGAAGTGGAGGTGGAAATCTGCAGAGACGTCAGGAAACACACCTGTTAGCCACAGGGGCCAGGAGAGGATCCGGGACTGCGGTGCAGAGTGGTAAGTCTGGAGGTCTCGGGAGTATCCCCACAAGGCCAGGCAGGGAAGGGCATTCTTTCTCAGTGCCAGACATGTGATACTGCCTCTGGGAATGTTAGTTGGATGTCTGTCTATTCTACTCTGTAAGGCTTCATCTTTTCCTAAATAAGGTGGATTAACTCTTGGATATTGACATAGGGTGTATTTACCCCACGCAGAGTTGCTTTCCATTTTCAAACGTGGTTGTTGCTACTTGTTATCTGGTCACACCTTTGCTGAAGAAGTCTTTCAGGAGAAGAAAGTGAGAGTAAGAGATTAAAAGAATACCAGTCAGTGTTAGCCACTAAGAAGTCCTATTGCATAGCGTCAGGAGGGAGTGAATGAATGCAGAGAACTTTCAACATTATGCCCGCCACTTAGAAACACGAATGCGTGGTTAGTGCAGGCACCATTCCCCACAGGGCTCATGACAGTCTTGCTCTGGTTTTGAGACATCACATGGTATAGAAAGCAGGTCCAAGCAAGAGATTGGTTCCCTGGCTGAAGTGTCTGTTCTTGACTCACATAATCTTTGAGGATCAAGCTCCTGTGGGCGGCATATCAGGGCGGCTCTCCTCTGGGCTGCTCGGCAACTTGATCTTCAGCTACTGGCATCCATTGCACCTGCTTTCCCCAGAACCCACAATAGTTTGCTTCTCTCCCTCTCCCCATTGTGAGAATACTCCAAGTCTTTGGGCTGCCCACAGACCGATGCCTGGCACTGTGTACTCTCGAACGACGGACACGTTCAGCATTCCTCAGACACCATGCAGTGGAGACAGTGGGACTGGGCATATTTTAGAATGCCTTACTGAGTATCTACAAAAACCACCTATAAAAAAGACTTAAGTCATCATAAGCCAATAAGATGTGTAGAAACCTTATGGCTATGTTTGCATGTTGATATAACATTCTAATTAAGTATATCTATTATGTGATTGTGAGTTTACCAAATGTATTACATGAAAAATATTAATTTGTGGGTCACACCAGCCTCGAGTCCTTTGAAGTCCATTTATATAGAAATGTGGGGACTCCACTGGAAGTGGGAGAGGAAACATAGTCTTACGAAGTGACAAGCCCAACCCCCAGCTCACCAATAATGGATACAGGGTGACTGATACTTAAGAATGCTTTTAGATGTACATGTCTTTTCCATAGTTTCAATGTGGCCCACCTATAAAATTCATAAATAAGGAAAACATCTTTAAAAAGTTAAGTGTGGATAGAATCCAGCTATTAGAAGCAAGCTCGCTCTGTGTGTCTCCGTTTTCTCACTACTCAGGCTCAGAATGGATCTGTGCTATATTCCTGTTCCCTGAGCTTTGCTGATTACAAAGAGATTCCCTTCTCTATCACCACGTTTTATGGACTGATGCCGCCATGCTTCCCTGGAAGACAAAAAGGAGAAGAAAAATCTCTTCTATGCACTTCACATGTATGGACGTATATTGAGTTAGGCTAAAATGTAAATAGAGTTTCACTGAGAGAGAAAAGAAGCATTAATTTTATTCCAACATTTATGACTATATGACATATGGACCCCTCTTTTCTCCATCGTTGCTTCTCCTGTTCATAATAGCAAGGCATTGACTTAAGGTATTTGGCCAACTTCCTCGAAGCTCTTTCTAAGTAGAAACGAGGAAGAGCGAGGTGCATGAATCAACAGCAGCTCTCCCATGTTGATCAAACAAGGCTGGCATTGCTGCAAAAATGAGAAAGCAGATCTGGGACAAACGCTGGGCTCTATTTCCTCGTATTGTATTTTGCTTTGGCAACTTGCAGGCTTAGTTATTAGAGCAGCAGATGTTTTTTAAGACTTACAGGGAAAAGAGCATATCAGATTCCATGCCCATGCCTGTCCCAAATGCACATGGCAAGAAGGGTTACTTGGAACTGAACACCCAGAGGGGCAGAGGACATATTCAGAGGTCCTTAACAGCACCAAGGGAATATCTTTTCAACAAAAAATGAATTTATTCTCAGAGCGGGTCAAACCTCCTTATTCCCAGGTTCATTTTGACCTTTAGCCGCAAGGATGCAATTGTTTCATTAAAAAACAAACAAACAAACAAACAAACAAACAACAAACAAAACACTCCTGAGGTTTCCTACCCAGAAACCACAGCTCTAAGAGGGGCCCTGTGATTCTCCATCTGTTCTCTATGTACCTGGGGGGCTGGGAGGACCCATCGTCTCTGCCTGGCTTGGATTCTTGCATCGCCCGAGCATTTGCCTTGAGCATAGCGGATACTCCACATGTACCTGGGCTCTCCTGATTCCTTAAGGATACTCCAGGTTTAAAGAATTCTGAGATTCCCCAGTGTTGTGATTCTTACAGTTTCTTTCTAATTTGGTCTTGAGGTGTCTCTCTTGAGAGTGACCCTAAGCCAAGACAGCCATTTTTAGGAGAACCCTGATGTGGGAATTGCACATGTGGGTCTGGTGAGACACAATGAGAAAGTGAAAACAGAATGCATGAAACAGACAAAATTTATTACTCACAGGTACAGAGAGGTTAGGGGTGCCAGCAGGAGACCAACGGGAAGTTTGCAGGTGGCAGGGAGCTCAAGTGATGGGTGGTGGGTGAGAGAGAGAAGGAGAGAGAGAGTGGGGACCTGTGGGACTAAGCCATGGACGTGATCCCTTGGGCCTTCCTGTGGGGGTTGTGGATTGCACATGCAAGGGGAAGAGCTTATTTACATGACTCGGGCTGACCATTATGTTTTATCATGGTCAGCAGCTGTGGGCTTTGCAGAGTTTTGGGTCAGTGGGATGAAGAACAAACAGGTTTTATCTCAAACAATCACACGGAGAGGAAAAGTTTTAACTAGGCCAAAGGTGACCGGGTACCACTGGGTTTCAAACAACTTACATCAGGCCTAGAAAGCAATTGTATTAGACAAGTGCATTACACTCTGTGTCCTTTGATTTAAGCTCTGCTTCGGTGGATGGTATTTTTCAGGAGAGGAGGTAGACCACATGGCAGGAAGAGGGTGACATTAAATAGATGTGAATAGTACAGTAGAAGGTCTCAGGGGATTTGGGATGTGAAAAACTGGTGAACCACTGCATTCAAGCTGCAGTTGATAAAGACGGTGCTGTGCTGGCTTCTGTTCTTTGTATTTAAGATTTTGTTTTTAATTAATAGCCTACCTATCAAAAAAAGTCCAGGACCGGACAGATTCACAGCCAAATTCTACCAGAGGTACAAAGAGGAAATGGTACCATTCCTTCTGAAACTATTCCAAACAATAGAAAAAGAGGGAATCCTCCCTGACTCATTTTATGAGGCCAGCATCATCCTGATACCAAAACCTGGCAGAGACACCACACACACACACACACACATACACACAAACCCAGAAAATTTCAGGCCAATATCCTTGATGAACATCATGCAAAAATCCTCAATAAAATACAGGCAAACCAAATCCAGCAGCACATCAAAAAGCTTATCCACCACAATCAAGTCAGCTTCATCTTTAGGATGTAAGGCTGGTTCAACATAGGCAAGTCAATAAACATAATCCATCACATAAACAGAACCAATGACAAAAACCACATGATTATCTCAATAGATGCAGGAAACGCCTTCGACAAAATTCAACATCCCTTCAGGCTAAAAACTCTTAATAAACTAGGCATTGATGGAACATATCTCAAAATAATAGGAGCTATTTATGACAAACCCACAGCCAATATCGTACTGAATGGGCAAAAACTGGAAACATTCCCTTTGAAAACCGGCAGAAGACAAGGATGCCCTCTCTCACCACTCGTATTCAACATAGTGTTGGAAGTTCTGGCCAGGGCAATCAGGCAAGAGAAAGAAATAAAGGGTATTCAAGTAGGAAAAGAGGAAGTCAAATTGTCTGTGTTGCAGATGACATGATTGTATATCTAGAAAACCCTATCATCTCAGCCCAAAATCTCCTTATGCTGATAAGCAACTTCAGCAAAGTCTCAGGATAAAAAAGCAATGTGCAAAAATCACAAGCATTCTTATACACTAATAACAGACAAACAGAGAGCCAAATCATGAGTGAACTCCCATTCACAATTGCTACAAAGAGGATAAAATACCTAGGAATACAACTTACAAGGGATGTGAAGGGCCTCTTCAAGGAGAACTACAAACCACTGTTCAAGGAAATAAGAGAGGACACAAACAAATGGAAAAATATTCCATGCTCATTGATAGGAAGAATCAATATCGTCAAAATAGCCATACTGCCCAAAGTAATTTGTAGATTCAATACTATCCCAATCAAGCTACCATTGACTTTCTTCACAGAATTGGAAAACACTACTTTAAATTTCATATGGGGCCGGGCGCGGTGGCTCACGCCTGTAATCCCAGCACTTTGGGAGGCCGAGGCGGGTGGATCATGAGGTCAGGAGATCGAGACCATCCTGGCTAACAAGGTGAAACCCCGTCTCTACTAAAAATACAAAAAAAAATTAGCCGGGCGCGGTGGCGGGCGCCTGTAGTCCCAGCTACTCGGGAGGCTGAGGCAGGAGAATGGCGTGAACCCGGGAAGCGGAGCTTGCAGTGAGCCGAGATTGCGCCACTGCAGTCCGCAGTCCGGCCTGGGCGACAGAGCGAGACTCTGTCTCAAAAAAAAAAAAAAAAAAAAAAAAATTTCATATGGAACCAAAAAAGAGCTCGCATAGCCAAGACAATCCTAAACAAAAAGAACAAAGCTGGAGGGATCATGCTACCTGACTTTAAACTATACTACAAGGCTACAGTAACCAAAACAGCATGGTGCTATTAACAAAACAGCAAAATAGATATATAGACCAATGGAACACAACAGAGGCCTCAGGAATAATGCCACACATCTACAACCATCTGATCTTTGACAAACCTGACAAAAACAAGCAATGGGGAAAGGATTCCCTATTTAATAAATGGTGCTGGGAAAACTGGCTAGCCATATGCAGAAAGCTGAAACTGGTTCCCTTCCTTACACTTTATACAAAAATTAACTCAAGATGGATTAAAGACTTAAATGTAAGGCCTAAAACCATAAAAACCTTAGAAGAAAACCTAGGCAATATCATTCAGGACATAGGCATGGGCAAAGACTTCATGACTAAAACACCAAAGACAATTGCAACAAAAGCCAAAACTGACAAATGGGATCTAATTAAACTAAAGAGCTTCTGCACAGCAAAAGAAACTATCATCAGAGTGACAGGCAATTTACAGAATGGGAGAAAATGTTTGTAATCTATCCATCTGACAAAGGGCTAATATCCAGAATCTACAAGGAACTTAAACTTATTTACAAGAAAAAAAAAAACAACCCCATCAAAAAGTGGGCAAAAGATATAAACAGACTTCTCAAAAGAAGACATTTATGCAGCCAACAAACATATGAAAAAAGGCTCATCATGCCTGGTCATTAAAGAAATGCAAATCAAAACCACAATGAGATACCATCTCATGCCAGTTAGAATGGCAATCATTAAAAAGTCAGGGAACAACAGATACTGGAAAGGATGTGGAGAAATAGGAATGCTTTTACACTGTTAGTGGGAGTGTAAATTAGTTCAACCATTGTGGAAGACAGTATCGTGATTCCTCAAGGATCTAGAACTAGAAATACTATTTGACCCAGCAATCCCAATACTGGGTATATACCCAAAGGATTATAAATCATTCTACTATAAAGACACATGCACACAGCACACATATGTTTATTGTGGCACTGTTCACAATAGCAAAGACTTGGAACCAACCCAAATGCCCATAAATGATAGACTGGATAATGAAAATGTGGCACGTATACACCATGGAATACTATACACCCATAAAAAAGGATGAGTTCATGTCTTTGTAGGGACATGGATGACGCTGGAAACCATCATTCTCAGCAAACTAACACAAGAACAGAAAACCAAACACTGCATGTTTTCACTCATAAGTAGGAGTTGAACAACGAGAACACATGGACGCAGGTAGGGGAACATCACACACTGGGGCCTGTCAGGAGGTGGGGGCGTAGGGGAGGGATAGCATTAGGAGAAATACCTAATGCAGATGATGGGTTGATGGGTGCAGCAAACCACCATGGCATGTGTATACCTATGTAACTATCCTGCACGTTCTGCACATGTACCCCAGAACTTAAAGTATAATAAAAAAAATTTCATTTTTATCTCCCATCACCAATGTACTGTTACAGTATGATACTATTACTGACTATGCCCCATAAGGATGACACTCCCACATCTTTGATTGTTTCTGATTTTGGTGGTGTATTGGCCTGAGTTGTGTTCTCCCAGAATTCAGCCTTAACCCTCAATATCTTAGAGTATGACTATTTGGAGATAGGCCTTTAAAGAGGTAATTTATTTAAAATGAAGCTGTTGGGGTGGACCTATCTAACTGGTATCCTCATAAGCAGAGGAGATTAGGACATGTAGAGATACCAGAGATACACAGAAGAAGGACCGTGTGAGAACACAGGGAGATGGCCCTGTCTGCAGGCTAAGCCGAGGCCAGCAAAACTGACCCTGCGGATGCCTTGAGCTTAGACTTCCAACCACCAGAACTGTGGGAAAATACATTTCTGTAGTTTGCAGCAGCCAGTCTGTGGTATTTTGTTATGGCGAGCCTGGCAAATGAATACAGGTGGCTTTTCTCATTTTTGCAGTAATTGCCAAAATGGCTGCAAATTACTCCCCTCCTTGCAGCTACACTCTTTTGCATTGTGACTTTGCAGCTCAGGGAGGAAGGACTATTCACTATCACTTGACTTTGTGGACTTATTCTAGCCAATAAAATGTGCCAGAAATGTCCAGGCTGGGCTTTGAGATGAGGCTTCCCTGGAGCCCACTCAGGCCCCCTGTGACCAGTGCAGGCTGACTCATTGCCAGTTTCAGCCGGCTGGTGGGCTTCAGGTACGTGAGTGAGCCTGGCCCAGAGCAGCAGCATGGCCTGGCCTAGTCCAGCCCAAGCTGCTAACCAGATGATTGCTGGAAATCACTAACTCTTGTTGGTTTATTCTGTAGCAAATCTAACTGGGCTGATTTCCCATTCAGAGGAGCAGGACAAAGCCAGGTCACGGCTTGTCAATCTATACAACGTAGGTTTCCAGTAAGTGTGAGTATCCTCAACCCAAACCCTGCACCCCCAGGTCAGGAGGCCAAAGAAGTTGAACAGTGAACTAGTTAGGTTCTGTCTACTTAATTTAGAATAATTTTTCTCATAATTTGACCAACATGCATGAGAGAAGTCCTCAACCTCTGCCAAATTAAGTGTATCCTATGACTCTCCATCTGAAAACATCCTTTCTGGGGCCAGGGAAGTTTCTTCCATCCCTGTCTTTTGGTGGCTGTGTTGAAGATGCAATGAGAAGATATTGGTCATCCTCCTTTTCCTAGGTAAATTCTGCCATTTGCCCTCTGAATGCTATCTACCTTCAGAACGCTATCACTTGCTCCTGTCCAACGAGAAAGAGTGAGCTTTGTGTCTTGTAGCAAATGCACGATTTGATGAGCATATCTTTGCTCTCACTTTCTGGTTGAGAGCTTCTGCTTTCTGATTTTGAGGCTAGATTTTAACCGCATCTGAGAAGGAGACTTCTTAACACAGGGCAGTTAGAGAAACGAAGCATGTCCTGTACCAGGAGAACATGTTAAGTGAGTTTACTTTTGAGAGACAGAAACTGGACCTAAGGCTGGCTTCAGTTCTTCTCCTTCCACAGAGCTCCCGGAATGTCCCAGAATGTTGAAGCCTGGGGGCTTTGCCCTTCTCAGTGCTCTGAGGAGGCATTTTCTAGTGTGTGCTCTCTGAAGGATCAGAAAGGTGAGCCACGTGGAGATCACCTGTGGCTGATGTGGTTCACGGGCTCCTGCCAGGGGCAGTCACTGGTTTTGTCTGCTGTAGATCTATCATCTGTTAGGCACCTTATACATTTTTTTTGAGACAGAGCAGTAAAGGAATGTGCCCCAGATCATTAAAGTCCTGTGTGTGGGCTGTCTGCGTGGGGGAGGCACTGCCACAGAGGACACGTTGGACGTGACCGGTTCATATGAAAATCCCCTTGGAAAATGCATGTGGCACCAGATTGCTGGAGTTTTCTCAGTCTAAACAGTTCCTGATGATCTCCCTCCCTCTTGCTTGCTCTTTATATATATCTATATTTTTTTAAACTGAAACTAAACTGTTATCTACAAAGGAACTCATCAGCGTGCACGCACACACAGCATTCCATCCAATCCCTGCCCTCGCCCACCCACTGTCCAAATAAAAACACTTCAAATGTTTTGGATCCAGTTTCTTATTTCCTGTGAGCAGTTGCCGGCATTACTTTACGTGGAGAGGTTTGGTTGTAAGATGAGCAGATGCCCATGAGCTCTATCCCTCGTAGTAAGTTAGGCCAGCAGGCTGTGAGACTTTGGAGACTGATGCCAATTTTCTTCTTAGAGCATAATCCTGTAATGCTCAACAGAAAGTTTTTGCTCTTTTGAATTAAAGCCTTACTACTTTGCCTGATTTGTGTTTGAGGTTTTATATTTTTTTCCTTTAGTAGAGACAATTTAATCTCAAAATGCCAAGTCCTCTTAAACTTCCCTACTCTGTTGTGGAGTGTGTTTCATCTTAAAAACATCCCAGAGAAACTTGGAAGAGGTCCTTGGGTTAGCGAATGCCCTCCTCGCCATCATAGAGACTGCTGAGCACAAGACGAAAAACGCACGTCTGTCAGACTGTTTTACCATCAAATAATGAAGACGTTTGCATGCCATTTTAGATTTTGCAGCTCCCTACTGCTTATCTTCCGGAGGCCCGTGGCGTCCAGTGTTGGTCCACCAGTTACACTTGGCAGGTGCGAGTGTTTGAGTGTTTCACTACAACATTCCTGCCTGCAAAACCTCCTGCTCCGTTGTTCTCCTTAAATCAGTCCCACTTCCAGAGGTTTGATTCCACTCTATTCCCTGGTCTATGGTGTCAACTAGGAATTTGTTCTCCGTTGTTATTGGGGTGCTTTCCCAGACTCAAAGAAATGTCCTAGATTCCCAGGGTTCTCATGCAGATTCAACCTTTGGGGAATTTTCTCCTTGAAAGCCTGCGGTGTCATTGCTTCCATGCCTTGTGTGGGCTCAGGAGTCCTTGCTCAGGGACCCTGGGGCGGGGATTCCACCTCCCTAGGCACATTTCTGCACGTTCCTCTGCAGCCTTGCCCCCTCCCAGGCTCATGATGGTGGGCCCTGCCGCTTTTCCTGCCCTTCCCCACTTCGGGAGTCTGCCTGTTTTTCCTCATTATCTCTGCCTTTTTCCAACCCCCTAATGCAATCTCCTCCAGAAGGTAGAACCCTGGGAGGAAGAGAGCCAGGAAGGGAAGAGTCTATGGGTACAAAGAGTTCGTGCACATGGAACACACGGTACCACATCACTAAGAAAATTAACCTTCCGTGTCTGGATGAGGAAAGTCAGGTGCAGAGAAGGTAAGTGACTTATAGAAAGCCAGACGACAGATAAACCACAGGCTTCAGTATAAAGGAAGCCTTCTGAATGCAGGTCACATGTCCTTTATAAAGAGGAAAACTGAACTAAGGTGCTTTCAAGTGTTGAATCCCATGTGTTTTCCAGGATGGAAAGTTAAAGTCTACTCTGTGGAACAGAAACAGGAATTATCTTCTTTCCAAGGGTGGCTTGACCCATCGGTGACACACTTCTGCAATCTAGTTCCTAGGCCATAGAAGTCCAGTCACTGATGCCAAGAGCCAGTGCGAGACCTCCCATTCTCAGCACTTATTACCCCTATGCACCACAGTGGTCGGCCAAACTTCTAGGGTGTCTGTGGACAACATTTGGCAGGTTTCTTTTTTTTTTTTTTTTTGAGACAGAGTCTCTCTCTGTCGCCCAGGCTGGAGTGCAGTGGCGCGAGCTCAGCTCACTGCAAGCTCGGCCTCCCGGGTTCACGCCATTCTCCTGCCTCAGCCTCCCGAGTAGCTGGAACTGCAGGTGCCCACCACCACGCCCGGCTAATTTTTTGTATTTTTAGTAGAGATGGGGTTTCACCGTGTTAGCCAGGATGGTCTCGATCTCCTGACCTCATGATCCGCCGGCCTCGGCATCCCAAAGTGCTGGGATTACAGGCGTGAGCCACTGCGCCCAGCCACATCTGGCAGGTTTCAATCCCGGCCTTGCTTCTTGGGTAACAGGTGTCTATTTTCCCTATCTCTTTGTAAAACAGAAAGTGTTGTAGTAAACATTAGTGCTCAGAAAGTAAACTGAAAATGTAGATGGATTGCCACTTTGAATCGGAAGCTCCTAAAATCTTCTAGCTGAAGAAAAACATAGAGTTGAAAACTGGATTTGCTGCTTTTCTGGAAAAATAAAGTCAGTTATAATTTTTTCTATATTATATTTTTAAAAAAGATTGCATATTTTGACAAGTGAAAATGCTGATAGGAGCCTTATAGAAAAGCTGATAATATTGCAACAAAATGTATGAATCCTGCTAAGGGCATTCTAGCCTTCTAAGGTTGGACATTTTATAAATGTGGCTAGATATTCAGGCTTATTGCACCATCGCTGCATTTTTTTCTTAGATTGCTCTCTTCAGAGGAAATAAATTAAAATATACTAATTGTGTTAGAAAAGCCTAAACCTTAAAATTCAATATAATTGTGGTCAAATAATGCAGATTATGAAATGTGCATGTGAGAGTCCTAGCTCAAGGAGAAGTCGTGCCTCAGTCACTGCCACTCGTCCACCCATCCATCCTCCTATCCGCTCATTTATCCATCCATCCACCTATCCATCCATCCATCCATCCATCCATCCATCCATCCATCCTCCTATCCTCTCATTTATCCATCCATCCACCTATCCACCCATCCATCCATCCTCCTATCCTCTCATTTATCCATCCATCCACCTATCCATTCCTCCATCCATCCTCCTCTCATTTATCCATCCATCCACCTATCCATCCATCCATCCATCCATCCATCCATCCATCCATCCATCCATCCTCCTGTCCTCTCATTTATCCATCCATCCACCTATCCACCCATCCATCCATCCTCCTATCCTCTCATTTATCCATCCATCCACCTAGTCACCCATCCATCCATCCTCTTATCCTCTCATTTATCCATCCATCCACCTATCCGTCCATCCATCCTCCTATCCTCTCATTTATCCATCCATCCACCTATCAATCCATCCATCCATCCACCTATCAATCCATCCATCCATCCTCCTATCCTCTCATTTATCCATCGATCCACCTATCCACCTATCCATCCATCCTCCTATCCTCTCATTTATCCATCCATCCACCTATCCATCCATCCATCCATCCATCTATGTGTCTATCCAACAAATAGTTACTCAGCACCTACTGTGTACCCAGCAGTATTTTAGGAGCTGAGGTCACACGTCACACAACTGAGTAAAAGAGATAAAAAAAGTCCCTGCTGTATTGGAGCTCACACCCTGGGCCAACTTCTGTCTTTGAGCCTCTTCCAGATGAGGCTGATGCCAATGGGAAACTTTCCTCCAAGGGAAGGTGTGCACTTAGTCCCTACACTTTCTCCAAGTGGTTAGTATTTGGTAAGTTCATAAGTTAGGAAACCTTTATGGTGGTCCCACACTCCTGGGCATACATCAGGAGAGTACAGTTTTCATAACATGCGTGACTAATCTTTTGCATTTCTTTTTCTTGAAATCAAGAATATGAAGGCAATTAAAGAACAAAAACCATAGCATGCCCCAAATTACGAAAAGAACTGGCATTTGCAAAGAATAACATCCTCACTCAGGCCTCATGTTGTAAGTGAGGAAACTACGAATCAAAGACAACAAGCAGCCCTCTGCTTAGCTCAGCTCCCAGGAACCATTCTCTTCCCAGAGCACATGTTCTGGAGGGGCCTGGTTTTCCATCTTCTCTGGGTAAGTTACCCGATAGAGCCTTCGCTGTCAGGCTCTGGCTTCTCTATGTGTGCACTTTTTGCCATTTCTCTGTCTCCTATTCCTGATAATATCGTTTAAGTCAGTTTAGGTGCCAGCCACCTGTCGTTAGTTTCATTTTATTCCTCGATGGATCTTGTCTCTATGATTTTCTCATCAAATTTACTTGTTCAATCTCATTTATCTTTGTTTTCCCCTATCCCGCCTTTTGGCAATAAAGCTCACTGCCTGGCATATAATAGATGATCAATTAATTATTGGTAAATGAGGCAATGGATAGTGATAGATCTTTTATATGTAGAATACTTAAAAATCTTTCTCTTTTTCCCAGAGATCCTCTGATGAAAGCATAACCAGAGGGAGGCTTACCCTCTACTTGCTCACCTTCTCCCCTGCTGAGATGGCCTTTGGAGGCTCTTCCAGTTAATTTGCCTTACGCGGCACTGCATCATGTTTCTAGTTAACTGCAAAGCAAATAGTCCATGGCCTAGAGGAGGCCTGCACCCTGGAACAATTGTTGGAATACGCTGGCCATTTAATATGTCAAGAGTGAAGGAGAAATATTCCTTGTGTGGCTTTGGTGATAAAGTGTGAAAAGGACTGCAAAGCCCGTGTGTCACCGAGGAGAGGGTCAGAAGAATGTTGTTGGCAGGGCAGAGGCCACTTCTAGATGCTGGTGTGATGGAGAAAATGTAATCAACCATAAGGCCCTTGGGGAAAGTATTGTATTTGTTTGGAAGAAATATTTTAGTATAAGACTCCCGTGAACATGCTCAAAGACAAAGGATAGTTTCTCAATAGTCTTCTAAGGGTAGGAATGATTGATGAGAGGGGATTTTGATTTGTTGAGCACTTAGGTAAGTTTTAGTATACACATTTGGGGACAGAAGCCAGGGCAGAAATAAACTGCTCAGCATAAAATGGGAAAGAGGTGACAAGGAGGCTAATTCTGGGAAGAGAGGAGCCACCTCCTTGCTGGTATGGACAATTTGTAGGTATTGGGCGTTGAGCATCACACACAATCCCCTTTCTCTGGCTTTGTAATTGCCTGATGTGTTCTTCCTGTCTGCTGCACAAACAAAGACCACAGCATAGCAATAAAGAAAGAGTTTAGGCTGGGCACAGTGGCTCACGCCTGTAATCCTAGCACTTTGGGCGGCCGAGGCGGGTGGATCACAAGGTCAGGAGATCGAGACCATCCTGGCTAACATGGTGAAACCCCATCTCTACTAAAAAAAAAAAAGTACAAAAAGTTAGCCGGGCATGGTGGCAGGTGCCTGTAGTCCCAGCTACTCGGAAGGCTGAGGCAGGAGAATGGCGGAAACCCGGGAGCCGGAGGTTGCAGTGAGCCACTGCACTCCAGCCTGGGTGACAGAGTGAGACTCTGTCTCAAAAAGAAAGAAAGAAAGAAAGAGTTTAATAGACACAAGGCCAACCACCTCACGTAGGAGACAGAGTCATTACTCAAATCAATATCATCTCAGGCTCCTGGGTTAGGGGGCTTTCAAAGGCCGTTTTAGGGAAGGGGTAGAGGTGGCCAGGTAATGAGTGCTTACTGCTGGTGGGTTGGGACAGAGATGAAATCACAGGGGGTTGAAGCTGTCCTCCTGCCCACTGAGTCACTTCTGGGTGGGGCCACAAGGGTGGGGTTGGTGGGTTTAGGCAGAGCCATCAGGTCCAGGTGGAGCCGTGCGTGTCACACATGCAAAAATCCTGAAAAGATTTCTCAACAGGCCCATCTACCACAATGCTGTTATTTGCAGGAGTATCTCCTGACCAGTCCACACCTTGGCAGAACCAGGCTCCTCTCCTCCCCTGCCCTGATGGCCTTTCATTAGCTTTACAGAGGCTGTAGAACTTGGGGGAAGGGCTATCATCATTTAAGCTCTAACCTAAATGTCTTCTGAAGTTAGCTCAGCCACAAAGCCCAGAAATAATTAAGGGGAAGACAAGATGGGGGGTGGGTTAGATCAGATCTCTTTTACTACCATAGTTTTCTGTTATAATTTTTGCAAAGGCAGTTTCAGCTTCTCTGCAAAATCTCAGGCAAGTTATACATCACTCAGTAATAATTCCAGGCAAGTGGGTTCTTTTGGAAAGCCTTGAGGCTCTTTGGTCTGTGTCCAGATTGGTTTTGGGGTGAAAGCAGAATCAGTTCACCTGGACGTAGGAGCTGGAGGATGATTTAGGGACACACCACAAGTACGTTGTTGGGCTCTGGTGCAGCATGCAGGAGAGGCTCTGGTGCAGCATGCAGGAGAGGCTCTGGTGCAGCATGCAGGAGAGGCTCTGGTGCAGCATGCAGGAGAGGCTCTGGTGCAGCATGCAGGAGAGGCTCTGGTGCCTGGAGCCCCCCACTCCTCCCCACTGGCCTGTCTTCACCTGCCTCACCTGACTTAAGTCCCACACTGTAAGATGATCTAATGGTTTAGCCAATAGACAAGGAAATTGGTCACATCTGCGATTCCCAGGGAGCGCTCCACATCGCACAAATGGCCTCAGGGTAGATATTCCGCCACGCAAGGTTCTGTGGGAAGATGAATTGGGGGAACATGGGGTTGAAGTAAATGAAAGAGCTCCTTGCTGTGACATTAGTTTGAGCCTTTAATGGGATTCTACGGTAATGTGGCATTTTCCGAACATTTTAACCACAGTCTGGTGTGTGTGTGTGTGTGTGTGTGTGTATGTTACGTTCACATTTGTGGCTGGTGCTCTCTGGAACATAAACACACCTACAGCAACACTGCTGTAGAATGAAGGGGCAGAGCTAGAGGGGCCAATGGGTCCAAAGGGAGGGGCCCAGGGAAGACTCAGCGGGTTCTCTCACCTAGTTTAGACACTCTACCGCAGCCACTGGGATCCTGTTCCCACATGGAAGCGCGCCATTCAGATGTGGAAAACACAGCAAAAGTAGCTGAGATAGGCTTTGGCTGGGAGTGGCCCCAGTGGAAGCCCTGACACCCTCTCCTCCTGGCAGGCCCCAGGCCCCGCACACCTTCTGCCTGCCCCCCGTGGGGCCCTCTGTTCCGCTGCTCTTGGCCTAGGCACAGGGGGCTACTTTTCTGCTGCTGCTCCTGTATGGTTCCCTTCCCACGCCCCACTAAGGTGGCCTGGCCCTGGACCAGCCTCTCAACCCCCTCTTATGATGTTTGCCTCTTGAGGGCTGTCACAACCTCATTAGGGCCACCCCATTGATTATCCAAGGATGGGCGCAGGGAGCAGCCCCACCCTGAGCAGGTGGGGCCTTGCTCTCCAAGGGCCTGGGAGAAAGACAGCTCCTGCAGCCACCATGATGCCACTATGCAGAATCCCCGAGGTTCTGTGGCTTCTGTAGGCTCAGAGCCCTGGACACCAGTGCCAGGGTCATCGAAGGAAGGAGGAACAGAGTGCGTCACTGAAGGTAGCAGGACAAGAATCCACATCGGGAAGCCACCACTTCCTGAGTCATATTATTTCTGTATCTGGAAAGCAAGCTTCCAGCAGTCCAGTGTGCTGTTGGAGCAGGACAAGAATCCACATCGGGAAGCCACCACTTCCTGAGTCATGTTATTTCTGTATCTGGAAAGCAAGCTTCCAGCAGTCCAGTGTGCTGTTGGAGCAGGACAAGAATCCACATCGGGAAGCCACCACTTCCTGAGTCATATTATTTCTGTATCTGGAAAGCAAGCTTCCAGCAGTCCAGTGTGCTGTTGGAGCAGGACAAGAATCCACATCGGGAAGCCACCACTTCCTGAGTCATGTTATTTCTGTATCTGGAAAGCAAGCTTCCAGCAGTCCAGTGTGCTGTTGGAGCAGGACAAGAATCCACATCGGGAAGCCACCACTTCCTGAGTCATATTATTTCTGTATCTGGAAAGCAAGCTTCCAGCAGTCCAGTGTGCTGTTGGAGCAGGACAAGAATCCACATCGGGAAGCCACCACTTCCTGAGTCATGTTATTTCTGTATCTGGAAAGCAAGCTTCCAGCAGTCCAGTGTGCTGTTGGAGCAGGACAAGAATCCACATCGGGAAGCCACCACTTCCTGAGTCATATTATTTCTGTATCTGGAAAGCAAGCTTCCAGCAGTCCAGTGTGCTGTTGGAGCAGGACAAGAATCCACATCGGGAAGCCACCACTTCCTGAGTCATATTATTTCTGTATCTGGAAAGCAAGCTTCCAGCAGTCCAGTGTGCTGTTGGAGCAGGACAAGAATCCACATCGGGAAGCCACCACTTCCTGAGTCATATTATTTCTGTATCTGGAAAGCAAGCTTCCAGCAGTCCAGTGTGCTGTTGGAGCAGGACAAGAATCCACATCGGGAAGCCACCACTTCCTGAGTCATATTATTTCTGTATCTGGAAAGCAAGCTTCCAGCAGTCCAGTGTGCTGTTGGAGCAGGACAAGAATCCACATCGGGAAGCCACCACTTCCTGAGTCATATTATTTCTGTATCTGGAAAGCAAGCTTCCAGCAGTCCAGTGTGCTGTTGGAGCAGGACAAGAATCCACATCGGGAAGCCACCACTTCCTGAGTCATATTATTTCTGTATCTGGAAAGCAAGCTTCCAGCAGTCCAGTGTGCTGTTGGAGCAGGACAAGAATCCACATCGGGAAGCCACCACTTCCTGAGTCATGTTATTTCTGTATCTGGAAAGCAAGCTTCCAGCAGTCCAGTGTGCTGTTGGAGCAGGACAAGAATCCACATCGGGAAGCCACCACTTCCTGAGTCATGTTATTTCTGTATCTGGAAAGCAAGCTTCCAGCAGTCCAGTGTGCTGTTGGAGCAGGACAAGAATCCACATCGGGAAGCCGCCACTTCCTGAGTCATATTATTTCTGTATCTGGAAAGCAAGCTTCCAGCAGTCCAGTGTGCTGTTGGAGCAGGACAAGAATCCACATCGGGAAGCCACCACTTCCTGAGTCATATTATTTCTGTATCTGGAAAGCAAGCTTCCAGCAGTCCAGTGTGCTGTTGGAGCAGGACAAGAATCCACATCGGGAAGCCACCACTTCCTGAGTCATATTATTTCTGTATCTGGAAAGCAAGCTTCCAGCAGTCCAGTGTGCTGTTGGAGCAGGACAAGAATCCACATCGGGAAGCCACCACTTCCTGAGTCATATTATTTCTGTATCTGGAAAGCAAGCTTCCAGCAGTCCAGTGTGCTGTTGGAGCAGGACAAGAATCCACATCGGGAAGCCACCACTTCCTGAGTCATATTATTTCTGTATCTGGAAAGCAAGCTTCCAGCAGTCCAGTGTGCTGTTGGAAGGCAGCACCTTTATTAAAAGAAAAGAGGTGTTAGGGCATGAGACTCACCTGCCATGCCTGCTGTGTGAGGGACGCTGGTCTCGGCACCCAGTTACTGAAGTCTGGTTACAGATCAAATCTCATTACCATAAATATAACTTGGTGCTATACTTTTACCAACAAGTCTTTGCTTCAGGCAATTGTCTACTTACTCAAAGTAACATTTAAGTCAATTGGAATATTCCATTTCCATGAAATAAGTTGAACAGCCCCCTTGGGATATGTTACAGTTGGGTTTGCCAGTAAGAGCATGAACACAATTGTTCTGAAATCATAGCAAAAATTGCAAAGGGCTTTCAAAAGTGCCTTTTTTGGGGGTCAATTTGTTTGCTTAAATGAGGGCACAAGGAGAAAGGTAGATAATACCTGGGTGTTTCTCACCTCAGACAGTTAATGGAGTCTTGTCCAAAGAGAGGAGGAATGATGGCCCCCACCTAGCTTTTCTCCTGCTTTAGGAAGCTTCCTTGCTGTCATTTGCATACCCAGCAGTAATTGATTTATGCTATTGTTTTGGAAGTATATCCTGTTTATAATTTTAAATATAAAGAATATAAAATGTGGCCAGGTGTGGTTTACTCCCGGCACTTTGGGAGGCTGAGGCGGGAGGATTGCTTAAAGCCAGGAGTTCAAGACCAGCCCTGGTGACCTAGCAAGACCCTGACTGCACAGAACAGGGTGCCCACTCCTGCCTGTCTTTCCTTTCTCCACCCTCCCTTACGCATCTTTGAGATCAGCTTCTTTAATTCTAGAAATACAGATCTTATCAAGAAAGGCCTTTGCTGTGCACAAGTTTAAGAAAATGTTACTTGTGAAGATATTTAGGTGGGGTTCAGAATCTCAGAAGTAACCTGAGACTGTTCTGAGTAAGCATTTGTAGCTCTAAGATATTTATGTAGCTACTTATGTTTTCCTAGACTTTTTATTAGTTCCTAAATAAAAATCCTCAAGATAAGGGCTTGTCAGGAACATAGGAGGCTGTCTGAGTTTTTAGTAAAGGTTTGCATCCCGCATAGCACAACCTAGCTTTTATTTTATTTTCGAAGTAATTCCAGAGCCTAGAGATATTTATTTTTTACTCTCTGAGGGAAAACATAGCTAATGGGAAAGTCACTGGGAACTACTTGTGTGTTTCCTGAGCTTCTTGGTGGGAGGGCGTATTGGTGAAATCCCTTATTTGCCTACTTGTTACTGTTTCCAGGAATGCGTGTCATCGCCAGATGCCAAGGGACTGTGTCTGGGGACAATTGTTCTCCATTTTCTCTAGGGTTTGACTCCTGGCAGTTCCCACCTTGTGTGAAGAGGCTATAGAACCACATGTTACAGAAAAGAGTGTAGGCCGGTCGCGGTGGCTCACGCCTGTAATCCCAGCACTTTGGGAGGTCGAGGCGGGCTGATCACGAGGTCAGGAGTTCGAGACAACCTGGTCAATATGCTGAAACCCCGTCTCTACTAAAAAAAAAAAATACAAAAATTCGCCCAGTGTGGTGGCGCATGCTTGTAGTTCCAGCTACTTGGGAGGCTGAGGCAGCAGAATGACTGGAATGCAGGAGGCGGAGGTTGCAGTGAGCCAAGATCGTGCCACTGCACTCCAGCCTGGGCAACAGAGCGAGACTCCGTCTCAAAAAAAAGAAAAAAAAGAAAGGAATGTAGTTACTTTGGCATTTTGGTTTTGACTTACTGGGTTTGGGTGAGAGCATTGCAGACAGCAAAGTGAACATTTGTGCCTTTGTTCGGCATTGACAGCGCATTTTCTGTATGCCAGGTGGTGCATATCCTGTCTTGGGGATTCAGGGTTGCATGAGGTGGCAAGGCTGTAAGCCAAGGGTCCTAGTTCAGTGAGACAGGGACCACCCAAAGGCTATCACCGGGGTTGCTGGCCTCCTGAAGACCTTCACATGCAGCGGGGCTCTCTGCAGGACAGGCCCGAAGGGTGGAGTCACCTTAGACAAACGGAGGCCCCAAGGCCTGTGTGGGGGTCCCTGCCTGGACACCACTGATGCGTCAGGGGGCTGGAAGGCCCAACAGTGTGAGCCCAGGAGCGGCCTCTCAGGGTGACATTTTTGGCACTCTGGGGGCATCAGGGAAAGGGGCTGGGGTGGCTGACCCAGGAGGGGCAGCTAACTTTCCAGAAGTACCTCTCCCTGCCCTCCTCTGGGCTGAGACCAAGTGACTGTTTGCACACAATGTTTTCATTTTAATTTACAGTTTCCAAGGGCTAATCTCAGGTGGGACTTCTCATACTGACTGTAAGTAGAGTACGCCCATTTTATAACTCCTTTATCTTACTTACTTAAGGACGACAGATAGCAACTCCTTCACAAATTCATACCTTTTCTGAGAGGAAAATGGTGACAGGGCTGCGTGGACCCATTTTATCAGCTCCTGTTTCAATACTGGCATTAGGAATGATAAACAGTGATATAAACAGTTATTTAACATAAAGGTTAAGTTGGTCAGAATAAACCCCGAGGGCTGACACAGGTCAACCAAACCCTCCATTGCCTAAGTTTACCATTAAGAAAAAAATAACCCGAGAGAGTTAATCAAGTGAAACCGAAAAGTAAAGAAAGGTGTGGGCTACTTTTAAAAGTATTTTTCCATTTAATCTACTTTTTGCAGCCAAAAGTGGAACTGGCCCTCCCTGGCTTGCCCGGGCTGAGACTCCTGACTTCAGCACTGAATTTGGCGGCCACAGAACGGGCCGGGACCGGCTGCAGGGTTTCAGTTCGAGTTTGCTGGTACCTGGCTGGCTACTTCCTGAAAATACTATGTTCCCCACCCCCAAAATCATCTGTTTCGAAAATAACAAATAGGGCATATTTTCCCCTCCAAATAGAAATAAAAGACAGGTTGACTTTTGTGTGTGTGACATTTTTCTCCTTTGGTGCCCAAAATAAAGCCAGATGAAATAAGTGTGTGGGGAAGGGAGAGAGGTAAAAGGCAGCTGGTATGAAAAGGAAAACCTCTGAACTCAGATTTTAGAATTTTTGATACTTATCTCAAGAGACTATACGTAAAGAGGCCACTTAGTAATGCAAATGAGCTGATGAACTATGACTAGACACTTAAATTCCAGAAAAACAGGGAAGAACTCTTGCAGCTGGCCCCATCGACAAGGAGCGGGTTTAGACTCATAATCTTTATAGTAGAGTGTTTCCTTAGAGACCTCCACGTTCCCTTATCACTCCCATTTACAGATCTGAAAACAGACCTTCTGCCTGGCGCAAACTCCTCTACCCCCAAAAGAAGGCTTTTTTTTTTTTTGTAATTAAATATAATCTTAAAGTGTGTGACTTACTGTCAGAAAATTGAAAATTTGCAGATCTGCTTGTGTTAGACAAATTTATATTTGCAGAGATAAAATGCTTAGTAAAAGTTTCATATCACATCTATTTTTTTTTTTGACATGGAGTTTTGCTCTTGTTGCCCAGGCTGGAGTGCAATGGCGGCATGACCTTGGCTCACTGCAACCTCCACCTCCTGGGTTCAAGCAATTCTCCTGCCTCAGCCTCCCAAGTAGTTGGGATTACAGGCATGCACCGCCACGCCCGGCTAATTTAGTATTTTTAGTAGAGATGGGGTTTCTCCATGTTGGTCAGGCTGGTCTCGAACTCCCGACCTCAGGTGATCTGCCCTCCCTGGCCTCCCAAAGTGCTGGGATTACAGGCGTAAGCCACCACACCTGGCCACATCCACTATTAACAGCAAATGCTGACTGACATTGACTGTCTCTTTGGCCAGTGCAAAGACCAGGCTGTTAAAGGATAGCTGCAGCCTTTGGCCTCTGACAGGCGGCCAGGACTCACGAGTGATCTCAGTGATTGTTGTCAGCTTTCAATGAACTCATAAATCCAGATGTGTGGTGGACGTGCAATGCCCTAATTACATGTTTTATGAACTTTCAACTAAGTGTAGATTTTTAAGATTCATTTTTATGAACAATTAGATAAAAGTGACTTCATAATAAACAGAAATGGGATTTTAAAAAATGTGAATCTAGGCCGGGCGCGGTGGCTCACGCCTGTAATCCCAGCACTTTGGGAGGCCGAGACGGGCGGATCACGAGGTCAGGAGATCGAGACCATCCTGGCTAACACGGTGAAACCCTGTCTCTACTAAAAATACAAAAAAATAGCCGGGTGTGGTGGCGCGCGCCTGTAGTCCCAGCTACATGGGAGGCTGAGGCAGGAGAATGGCGTGAACCCGGGAGGCGGAGCTTGCAGTGAGTCGAGATCGCGCCACTGCACTCCAGCCTGGGCGACAGAGCGAAACTCTGTCTCAAAAAAAAAAAAATGTGAATCTATTCTAAAAGATGGATCATTTGGCTCTTTGGTTTGATATTTGCTTCAATATCCAATATCAGCCAACCTTGACCTGGACACTGTAGTCATAGACTCTTAACAGTCAGCTGTGACTTCAGAGACCATTTGGATGAAACTGTTTAATGGAAAACCTCTTTCATGACAGTCCTGCCTTGCTAGTCAAACTCGGCCCGGACGCACTTAGGGACGAGGTGCTAACTCTCACAGAAACTACCTGATCTTTCTTATTTGAATAAACCCCACCTCCCTGTAACTTCCTCCTCATTCTTTTGTTCTCTGACAGCCTCGGGATATTTGAAGGCAACCTGGGTTGGTCCCAGCCTTTCCAGCACCTCCTTTCTCCAGCTTGGACTAGAAGCTCTTGGCGTGTGTCAGCTGTTTGTGACATGACATGGGTTTGAGACTCCTTCTTTCCCAGCGTGCCCCACAGGGGAAGTCTCTAGAGCCAGGCCCACCCGGGGACAGCAGAGCAGAGCCCTCCCTCTACCTCCAGGACCTAAATTCTGCAGTAGGGCCATCTGCCCTGACACCTTCCAAAAGGGTCATGGTAGAAGATATGAAGCAGAAGTCTGCGAGGATTTCATCTTCCAACTTTGAGGACCAGGTATCTGCCCACCCACTCCCATTTCGCCTTGTCTTTGGTGGAAGCTGGGCTGCATCTGGAGCTGGTGGGTCTGTGGCCGAAGATCTGCCTTGTACAGCAGCAACAGGCTCCCCTCCTCTCCTCTTGCTTGCCTGATGTGGTTGCACTCAACATGCTTCTTAACTTTTGTAAAATTCTACAGTGGAATCTTCAGGACAAGGCCACTGAGTGGTCTCCTGGGTATTTCCTGTTACTTCGACCATCCCTCACTGGGCACTGGCCCACTCTGCCTTTATTTCCAGGGAATGTCCTCCTCAGGTAAAACATAGCAGAACACAGATAACACACTAGCTGATTTCTTGGTTTTTGAATCTGAAAAGTCTGGACCCTGGCACAGAACTCACAATGGGCCCCAGAAAGTATTTCTTGAGTGGGAAGCTGGACAGCTGGAGGGGAAGTGGGCCGCGAGAGTGGTGGCCCTCCCCAGGGACCCTGTATTCTGCCCCTCATGCCCTGGGCTGGTGGTGGAGGTGAGGCTGGGGGCTGACTTCAGAGTGCCCAGCGTGGAGCAGGGACAGAGGAGAGGTCTGCGGGTGTGTCTGGAGGACCAGGTTGGGAGCCTTGCGGAGGTTTCTGTCCTGGAGCCATCAAACGTTTCCTGGACACCCAAGGGCTGCATGGTTGTGGCAGGGGAGAGGTGTGAGGGGCAGCCAGGACCTGCCTGTATCCCAACCAGAGGGCCAGCAGGGTGTCTCCACAGCACCCTGCATGAGTGGACCGTGAGGCTCCACCCACCCCCAGGCGATCCTCCTGTCTCCTGTGGAATCACAGGGACCCCAGGTTGGTGCAGAGCATCTCTGTCAGTGCAGAATGGGGCTTCTCATCGAGGTCAGCTCACCTACAGAACAAGGAAGTTATGTTTCCTACACACTTGCAATCGGGAACTGAGCCCAGCGCCCACTATGCATTTAGCAACAATCACATCTCTCCTTCTGAGTTAAAATACCTGTTATGGGTAAGAGCAAGATGGAAAATACAGCTGTGCAGGGAGACCAGCTTCCTCCTTGGACATGCAGGAAGCCCATTTTCCAGATGGCTGTGCCTCATATTTCAGGACAAATGCTAAGGTGATGAGGGGTAAGGAAAAAACACATAAGCTTTTTATTCACTTATTCATTCAGCATTTATGGAGCATCTGCTGTGCCGGGAAATACAATGATGAATAAAATAGACAAGGTTGCCCAGCAACATGTGCATGGAGATTTCGTCTTTTCTGTGTACAACCCCAGCCCCAGGAGGCAAGCCCGCTGGGACACACATCCCGGGATGCTGAGTAGAGGAACTCTAAATATGCCTCCTCGTATCAACCACTGACCTTGTCCCTGGGGTGTGCCCTCGGCCATCACTCTTGAGGAATGAGGTGGACCCTGAGTTCTACTTGCTAGTCCAAATGTTTTTCTCGTATGGGTCCTGCCACAGATTTCCTGAAGGTGTGTCACATTTCCAGTTGAACTTACCCAAACATTCACAATCATGGGTGGGACTAAAGTATATATTGCCACTCTTTTCTTTAAAGACTATGAGAACAGGCCCAGTGACCTGTTAAATGAAGAGGTGACATGACATGAGGTGTGGCAGGACTCAGCTTTTCCTTTCTTTAATAACAGCTTTGTTGAGATATAACTTGCATACCATATGCCTTTACCGACTTAAAGGGTGCAATTCAATGTTGTTTAGTGGATTAGAGTCGTGTAACCATCGTCAGGATAGATGTGAGAACATATTTATCACCCTCCAAAAAGCCCTGTACCTCTTAGCAGCCACTCCGCCTTTCTCCCTCCCACCCGCAGTCATTGACACCCATAAATCTATTTTGTGTCTCCCTAGATCTGCCTTTTCTGGATATTTCTTGTAAACGGACTCAGACAAAATGGATCTTCTGTGTCTGGCTTCGTTCACTTAGCCTAATATTTTCAAGGTTCATTGCAGCATGTATCAGTGAAACTTGTACCAATACTTCATTTCTTATCATGGCCAAATAACATTCCATTGCATGAATACAGCACACTATTTATTCACTCATCAGCTGATGAACATTTAGATTGTTCTGACTTTTTGCCTGTTATGGATAATGATGCCATTCATATACAGGTTGAGCATCCCTAATCCAAAAATCTGAAATCCAAAATGCTCCAAAATCTGAAACTTTTTGATCATGAACATGACACCAGAAGTGGAAAATTCTCCACCTGACCCCATGTGACGGGTCCCAGTAAAAATGCAGGCGCACAACACAATTTATTCAGCGTCCCTAAGTGGAAACACATCCCCCTTCAGCTGGGAAATATCTTTCCATAACATGCCCCAACTCCCCCCAGGACAGCACACCTACAAAGGGTAATAAAATGGCAAGTGTGCAGGCTGGACACACCAATGGTAGGTTCCCCACAGGGCCCCACAAGGGGCCAAGACCCATAACATGGGTGGCTGAGATAATGACACCTTCGCTTTCTGATGGTTCAGTGTACACACGTTTTGTTTCATGCACAAAATTATTAGAAATGTTGTATAAGATTACCATCAGGCTGTGTGTATAAGGTGTACATGAAACATAAATGAATTCCATGTTTAGACTTGGGTCCCATCCCCAAGATATCTCATTATGTATATGGAAATATTCCAAAATCCTCCCCGCCAAAAAATCTGGAACTTGAAGCACTTCTGGTCCCAAGCATTTTGGATAACCAATGCTCAAACTATACAAGTTTTCATGTGGATGTATGTTTTCATTTCTCTTAGGTATATATCTATGAATGGAGTTGCTGGGTCATATGGCAACTCTATCTTTAACCTTTTGAGGAACTCCCAGACTATTTTTCAAAGATGTACAATTTTACATTCCCACCAGTAACGTACGAGGTTCCGATTTCTCCACATCCTCGCCAACACTTGCTATTGTCTCTTTTTGATTGGAGCCATGCTAGTCAGTGGGAAGTGGCACCTCAGTGTGGTTTTGTTTGGTATTCCCCTGGTGGCTAATGAGGCTGAGCATCTTTTCATGTTTTCATGTGCTTGTCGTCCTTTTGCATATCTTCAGAGAAATGTCTATGTAAGTCTTTTGCTCATTTTGAAATTGGGTTATCGGCCTTTTTATTATTGAGTGCATATATTCTAGATACAAGCCTCTTATCAGATACATGACTCGAGAATATTTTCTTTCATTCTGTGGGTTGTCTTTTTTTTTTTTTTTTTTTTTAACGGAGTCTCACTCTGTCTCCCAGGCTAGAGTGCGGTCGTGTGATTTCACCTCACTGCAACCTCCGTCTCCTGGGTTCAAGCAATTCTCGTGCCTCAGCCTCCCAAGTAGCTGGGATTACAGGTGTGCACCACCATGCCCAGCTAATTTTTGTATTTTTAGTAGAGACGAGGTTTCATCATGTTGGCCAGGCTGGTCTTGAACTCCTGACCTCAGGTGATCCACCCACGTTGGCCTCCAAGAGTGTTGGGATTATAGGTGTGAGCCACTGCGCCCGGGTCTTTTCACTTTCTTGATGGTGTCTTAAATAAAAAGTTTTAAGCTTTGATTAAATCCAATTAATGTATGTCTCCTTTTGTTACTACAGGACACAGCTTCTTAATCATAAACAAATTAAAATCCTTTTAGAATGCCAATTACCTAAAGAGAGGTGGTGGTAAGATTTTTAAAGTGAGATGTTAAGTATGAAACTACTTTTTAAGTTTTCAGCTTAGAGATAAGAAGCAATTGTTATTTGAAAGCAGAATGTTTATTATACTATGGACACGAAAATACTTTTTTCTACTAAATATGAGACCTACCTCCACTGAAGGAACGTGTGATGAAAATCCTTTATGGAAATGTATAAGCATATTTCTGTCAAATTATCCTGCAGTAAAATAGTGGCTTTGGCATCCATTCTTGAGTAAAATTACAGTTTCTCTTCATTAATTTTATTTTGTACCTCATCCTGAGCACAGCTGCACTGTTGAGAGTAGGGTCAGGGTTCCCTGAATGGTGACGTCAGGGAGACTGTTGATGAGGAGCACTCAGGACGTCAGCTTTTCTTGTCTGAATTGGCCAATGAAAGTAAGGCCTAGCAAACTCTGAAAACCTTTGGAGGGAAATAAACGCATGGAAGTTCATCAGCTCTGGACTGCCAAATGCTTCCCTGGCAGAGCTGGAGAAACAGCCCCACCCTGGGGCAGGTGGTTCAGACACGGCCAGGACTCTGTCTGCGGTTGTTGTTCCTTTTCTTCTTCTACAAAAGTGAACGTTCCCGGGCTTAGTAAGCGTGGCCACAAATCAAGTTGTAGAGAAAATGAGGCCAGCCCAAAGTTTCTAGATTCATTATATCAGAGACCATTCTTTGAATGAACTCGATGATTGAAATTAAAGAGTGAAAAAAGTAAATGAACAAGTTCAATTTATGGGTGAAGTTTCTGTCCTACCCATCTGATGTGGGCTGAACTGTGTCCTGCTCCAACTCCCCCAGTTCCTCAGAATGTGGCTGTGTTTAGAGACAGGGCCTTTAGAGAGGTCGTGAAATTAAAATTAGGTGACCACGGTGGACTCCAATCCAATCTGACTGGGGACTGTGTAAGAAGAGGAGATTAGGACACAGACACGCACAGAAGGACCACCATGTGAGGACACAGGGAGAAGACGTCATCTACAAGCCAAGGAGGGAGGCCCCAAGGAGAATCCAGCCCTACACAACCCGATCTCAGGCTTCCAGCCTCCAGAACTGTGAGAGAATAAATTTCTGTTGTTTAAGCTGCCCAGTCTGTGGTACTTTGTCATGGCAGCTCTAGCAAACTAATACTCCTCTATTTTTACCAACTTCTGTGGAGAGAATTTTTTCCCTTTGGAAATGGAACATGGAACATTAAATGAAATGTTGATTGGCTTGTATGGATTTCATCATTATTGACTGCTTCAAGCAAAGGTATTTATCTTTCTAGCTGATGTTCATAAAGCATTTATAAAGTGCTTTTATTTTATCTTCACAGTTGATCATGAAAACAAGCAAGGCAGGTGGCTGTTACCATTAACTACAGTTCACATGGGAGGAAGCTGAGCAACTTCCCTAAGAAATTCAGCCAGGAAGTAGCAGAGAAAGGGGATTGAACCCAGGTCTTTGGCCTTGAGCCCCTTTTTCCCTCTGGTCAAAACTGCATTCCTGGAACTTATGGCTGGTTATGTTTCTGGGAAAGGCACTACAAGTTGAAATGATGTAAGTCTAATCTAATTTATTAACAGAAAAGTTTTATAATGGAGGTTATAGTATGGACTAAGTGCTTGATTCCCAAATTGTTATACAAAGAACAAAAATCCCATATGTGATCAAGCTCAGGCTATGTACCTATACAGTACACAGTGAGAACTGGCAATATAATGCCTGCTCTTATAAAATTTAATTTCATTTTTAATATAGTTCCCAGGAGAGGGTTTGTGCAGAGTAGAACGAAGGGCTAGAGGTTTTGTGGAAACAGCTGGAGATTTCCTGATTTCCAGAGGTTTTGCCTGAGGCTGAGGCTGCAGTGACCCGTGGGACAGATGCTGTGGGGGGATGGGGGAGGTCCCCTGAGGCCTGGCGCTGGGCCGTTGCATCTTTTCACCACTAGGACCCATCAGGAGGCTGTTGGAACATTGTGGGTACCCCAGGAGCATGGGAGCCTCTCTGGTTGAACCTTCGTTTGTGGAGGGAAGTATTACCCATCCTTTGCTTTGCTGCCTGAGGACCAGCGTGAGACTCAAGCTGCTTTGGTATGATAGAAAGCTGCTTTGCTCTTCTAGAAAACCAGGGCCCTACCACTTAGCAGCACACAAGAGTGGAACCCAGTGCCCAGGAACTGGCTTGTGTGTGCACTCAGGTCCCTCTGAGTGAAGATGTAACATCTAGCTCCAACCCAAAGCATATCTAAAACACCCGCCTATCTCTAAAACACCAAAGCGTCTCTAAAACACCTGCCCTTGCTTTGTGGAGAGGGTAGGAAAACAGGCGAAATCAGCGAATGTCTTTCCCGTGGCTCTAATGGCCAAAGCCCCACGGACAGCTGCCCTGTTTCCCGGTTCTCTAACCATGGCCAGCAGCAGCCTGTTTTCCCTTTCACATCATCCTGGTCACAGTGGACGTGAAATTTAGGGCATCTGTGTGGGGAGTCCTTGGCCATCTGTGTCTAGTACTAGTGAAACAGGAAGAAGTGCTTTTTCTTTTTCTTTTTTTTTAGAAAGTCCCTGTCCTGAGCCTGCAGCTGGAAGGAAGAGTGGCCTGGCGCTGTTATTTTTAGAAGATGGAGGGCTGGGTGAAGATTGCGGCCCAGGTCGGGGTCTGCTTCCCTTTATGGGGGTGATTTTTCCATGGAGATCCAGTGTTTCCTCTGGGCTCACTCATGAGGAAGATAACCCACTGCACTCTAGAAAAGGTGATCTGGCGGACGGTGGCTTGCTACGTTGCCTTTTCTGGGTCCTGATGACTCATCTTACAACAGCCCTGCTAGAAGAGAGATGCAAGGCTTTGAGACAAGAGTTCACCTGGCCACCGTCTTTACAATCCCTATACTCTATTTTAAATATAAACAGAACCAAAACACAGGCCAACAAACGAAAAACTCCAAAAAGAACTTTGTCATTTTTCTAATTTTCCCCTTCATCTCCTCTTTTATAGAGTGCACTTGTCTGCCTATTTTCCTATCTCATGTATCTATCAATCCATCTCCTATCGTCTCTCTATCATCTACCCATCCATGCAGCTATCTAAACTTGCAATCTAAACTTGATAGGAAATCAGGGAAGCACAAATGTCTCTCACCCCCACATTGTCAGTGGGAAAACTACTCTCTTGTTAGCTGTGAAAATATCACTCCATTGACCTTTTGACAGATCTCTGGGCCTGAACCTAATGACCCAGTTATGTCCTATTTTCTGTAGCCCTGATGGGAAAAGGAGGTGGGTTATGTAAAGAGAGAAAAAGAGGATAGATCCATGAGATTGTTCAGTTCCACTTCAGCGTCTATGTGGAGATGAGACCAAACCATTCGTGACAGAATGGAATCAATTGTTTTCTTCTCCAGATTTCCCAGAAAAGTGATCTCCTCCCATAGTGGTCGAGCTGTTTGTTTTCTGGGACTGAGATTTAGCAGGGTTTTGTTTGTTTGCTGGGTGAGGGCAACACGAGGGGATGAGGTACCATACCAAACTGAGCTTCTGATGTAATGTTAGCAAGCTGGATTGCATTCCCATTTTACACTCTTCCACTGGTCTAGAGAAGACGCTTTAGGAAATGAACACGTAGCTAGCATGAGAGTTTAATAAAAGGCTGATGCTTCATCTCTTGGCTTAATCATTTGATTGCCAAGGAGGCTGTCTTTCCCTATACCTTATTCTCAGCTGATAGCCTGGTGCCCTTGACTGTCCAAAACTGTTACAGGCCCATAGTCCAAGACAAGATTCTCATGAGAAAAAGTGCAGGAGAGACAGGAAATGGGACCCCAGGAGTCTGTTCTCATGACATGAATTCAGTGGAAACAATGGGATGGGTCCGCTCTTTTCCAGTTTTTGGTTGACTTTCTTCTTTGATGATCTTTCTTTCTCCTGACCCTTCCGCCCACCCTGACCCTCTCCCAGGGATGGGAAGCAGGATATTTTCATAAAGCCTTTGTTCCTGGGAGGAGCTCATGCTCTGTCTCGGGTCAAACTCTCCCTTCCCATTCCAACTACTCAGGTGCCCATGGACTTCCTGCAGGAACATCTCCAGGAGTCCAGGCTTCCCTGCCCATATTTTATCTGGATGGGAGTAAGACACACCCGTCTAATTCACGTAAAATCTAAATTGCTTTTTAAAATGGCACAAAATAAAATATTAAACACCAATTGAGATATTCATTGTCCTTTTGATGTTAGCGAGGACCTCACCCAAACTATTCAAAGAAGGTAAACTTTGCTTCCGAAGCAGAAGGTAGGAGCTGCACTGTGAGCTGTCTGTGATCCCGAAGAGCTTGCAGGAGGCGGTTGCCACCAGGGCATTTATGGTGTGGACGGGAGCAGGGAATTCAAGGATGTGATTATTATTAACTTGTATAATGTGTGGTTCCTGTAGCTGATAGAGGATGCTTTGGTGAGTCCTATGCTGCTTTTCAGCCCCCCAGCATCACCTGAAGTTCTGCAGAGCAGACGGGGCTACTCACTCCACAATGGCTAACTAGTCAAAGTGGACTCAAAGGGATTAGCTTTCTTAATTCAGGTTCCAAATTTAGGGGTACTTGCTGTCAGTATCCAAGGTCTCAATTCTTGACCTTCCAAGCACATCTTTACAATGGCTGCTTGAACATTTTTCTAGCTTAAAGAATTTCCTGTTAGAGAAACTCCACTTTTCTCCACCCACGCCTTAGAAAACACTCCTTGTGACATTATCTCAGTACCAGCCTCGAAGAAGCAAGCAGATCCTCAGTCTCTGTCCCTCTCCTCAGGGATGGCTGTGCATCTTTGACTTTCTCTGGCACATGCCATGGGCTGCAGTGGGTTTGTAAGATGACACTCCAATGCTATCACCATGCTTTGCTAAATGAACATTGCTGTATAATACTGCTCTACATACAAAGCTTCTTCCAGCTTCATTTTCGTTGGTTTATACACACATAAATTCAGGACAAAACCCATCACCCTTATTCCTGTACTGAAAATGCAGTTTCTGATGCTTGAAACGGGAGACATTTGCCCTTCCCCTAACCTGGGAGTAACCTCTTCTCCAAACAAGCTTCTTTGTAATAAGTATCTGAAAGGCAGCAGCAAATTTAAAGGGTTCAGCATTCAGCTGAAAATTGGAAAATCCACAAAGACAGGTTTACAAAACATCATTTGCTTTGGACTCAGACGAGATCAAGAGAATTGTCCATATTGCTCACCTCATCTCCCTGACTCTCTCTCCCCTAAAATTTATTTTCACAGTTTTAGGTGGAAAGGCCATTCCCCAGCTGCAGGTGGTTTTGAGGCCCCACACCTGGGCACTGTGACTTTTGTATGTTTATGGTCTTAACCTGCCCTATAAGAGTATACATATTCCAGTGCAACTTGTGAAACCTAATACAGCGTTTTCAGAGACCTTCCTGACATTTTCCTGAAGGGAAGTTATCGTCAACTTATGTTAATGAGAAAACTACACAAGTGGAGGTAAACTTCTCTATAATCAATCAAGATTTCCTCTGCTGAAATGCTCCATGCCCACCTGAGAGTTGGAAAAGAGCCACAGGAAAACTCGTACAGGCCTTGGCATTGCCCACTCATCCCAAGTCAGACCTAGTCACATGGGAAGAAGGCACTTGCTTCTCTTCACAGGCATTGTTCAACCATATGTTCAAGGCAAAGTTTGCTCCACCAGATAAACAGGTTGGCTGCAGAGTAGGATACTTACTCCTGTTCATTTGTTTAGGTCCATAAGTGAATTTATAACTCTCAGGTTATTGCTGTAGGAATCTCAGTGAGGGCTATGAGCGGCTTCATCACCTGTAACACATTATCTCAGGAGCCGCGGGTGCAGAGTGAGCGGGACTGCCGTTGCCAACGGCAGGAGACAAGCAGGAAGAGACGCTTGCTGAAAGAGTGTTCTCTAAAGCAAATTCCACCTCTCCCTCCTCTGTGTTCCTTTATGCCTTTTCTCACCACTAGCTCAACCAGAGAGGGGAAGGAAAGAAAGGCAATATCCCCGAGCGTCTTCATTGCGCAATTTTGCAAGAGCAAACATATTTTACTTTTCACTAGGAAATAAAAAGGACAAATTAAGAGGCGTTGGGACAATGAAAATTTCACATAGATAATGACTTAAATATTTTTCCTCAAACTAAGGAGGGGTAAATAATTTTTCACTTTTCCCAGCGGAATTATTTCCTCTCTCCAAAGCAGGTGTCATTGCTGATGCAAACCTGTTCTCCTAAAAGGGCTGATATTCCAGCAGGTGTGATTTGTAGAGTGAACAGTGGCAACAAGTCCATTTCAGACGAGTCTGGAAGGGTTGTGAGGTGTTGGTATCCCTTACGTGCCAACCACAGCTCTAAGCATTTGGGAAGCGAGCTGTTGAAACAGGAGCTGTTGTGATGATGTGGTGATGTGTGGCTGGGAAAAGGAAGTGGACTCGGAGCTGAGGCTTGGAGGCTGTGGGTACCAGTCAGTACCATGGGCAGGAGACTGAGTGGTTGGGTCTGGTTCCCTAGTCTCAAATACAAGAATATTGGAATAAATGTTCTCTATGGCCCCCTCCAAGTATAAGAGTTCCTATGAAAGAAAAGTGAATACAGCAAAATTTAGAGATTCTGGGTGGAGCACACCTGCGCATCTTTGTGCTTACTCTCACAACTGTTCTGTAAAAGTGAAATTAGGTCAAAATATTTAAAAATGTAAATAGTTCACATAAGAAAATTCTTTGGTAGATTTAATCTACTCGTGGAAAAATGAGAACTTTTCCTGTTGTCAAAGAGAGTATCATGAAATCTGTGATGTACGAAAGACATATCTGATCTTCAACTTCATGTTTTCTGGCATACAACTTCTAAAATCCTTAGAGGCTCCAAAGTAATGTCTTTTGTATGCTAATGACAGCAGGCCCTAGGTACCTTCAGGATGGGGCTGACCACCAGAAAGACCAAGGCAGGATTGGAACTTTTAGACCTCCTCACCCCATGCAGCCTCCAGGGTTGATCGACCATGACCAATGGCTTAACCACTCATGGCCACATAATGAAGCCTCCATAGAAACCCAAAAGAATAGGATTTGGAGAGCTTCCAGATAGCTGAACGTATGGGGGCTGACAGGAAGGTGAACAAGAGCTCATCCACGTGCTGGGAGGGTAGCACACCTCAATTTCACAGAGACAAAAACTACTGCGCTTGGTACACTTCCAGACCTCCCTGGGTATCTCTTCATCTGGCTGTTTACTTCCATCTTTTAAAACATTCTTCATAATAAGCTGGAAAACATGTTTCCCTGAGTTCTGTGAGCCACTCCAGCAAATTAACCAAACCCAAACAGGGGGTCATGGGAACCCCAACTTGAAGCCAGTTTGTCAGAAGTTCAGAGACCCGAACTTGAGACTGGTGTTTAAGGAGGAGGGGGCAGTCTTGTGGTATTGAACCTCACCCTGTGGGACGTGACACTGTCTCCAGGTGGAGGGTGTCAGAATTGAATTGGAGGGCACCCATGGTGTCAGCAGCAGGTTGATTGCTTATTTATTGGTGGAGAGAAATCACCTACACTTACTCACAGAAGCCTTCTGTGTTGTTGGTTGTTGTTTTGGTGTGAGAGCAGAGAAAAAACAGTTTTGAGTTTTTCCACGTTCAAAATCAAACTCTTACTGGTGCTCAAGTCTCCTTAGGCACAAGATTTCAGATTAGATACTTTGGAGAATAGATTCTGAATTCAAATAATACTGCCCAGGTCACATACAGCTCCAGACTGGGCCCCTCTACATTCTTCTGATTCCATGTGTGCAGAAGGAGAAGGACCAACACAGAATTATGGAGGAGTTACTATGTACTAACACTCCACTGAGTAGTCTGTGTTCATCATAGTGAAGAAGGTTTTGCATAGAGTACTGTTTTATTTGCACAAGAAATAGCTTAAGTAAAGCAACAGAAGCAACAAATGGCTCACATTTAAGGAAAAAGATGTTTTCAACTTCAGTGGAATGGTGGGGATGGAATCCTCATAAAGTCATTTTTGATGGGCATCTCCCTCGTTTAACAAGTGGGGAAATTGATGCCGAAGAGGTTCCATTTCCATAAGGTCCACCCAGGTGGAGGGACGTGGGTCCATGTTAGGGGTTGGGAGTGGACAAGCCGTTCTCAAAGTAATCGGATGTTTGGGAAGGCCCAGAAAGGTTTCATGGCAGAGGCAGTGCTAGGGATGAAGAAGACATAACTTTTCCAAAGTTCAGGGTAGGAGGTGAGAAGGGGTTCCCATGCAGCCAGAAAGCTGACTTCATCAGTGCAGCGAGTTGGGTATTTGGAAGGAATTTAAGAAACTCCTGGCTGGGATGAAGGCCTCGGTTTTGCAGAAGGGGACAATGTGGTCTGGGTGAGGGGCTGAAATCAAACCCTCCTGCTCCTGCCCACTGCCCCACCCCTCACTGAGTACTGTGCCTTTTAGAGTCAAAAGAGCGGGGACCACCGAAAGGAATCTCCCCGGTTTTAAAATACACTGCACTCAGAGGTCACACTGCCACTCTAAGTGGCTACAAGACCTTAAGCACAGACAAATTCAGGCTGTGAATTCTTGACACTGTATTTTTGTCTTGAAGAAGCCATCTAGATGTAGGGTGATTAATTGTCCCTGTTTGTCTGGGATGGAGTTGTTTCCAGGGACAAGGGACGGTCCCAGGCAAGCCCAGATGAGCTGGGTGATCCTAAAGGGTCACTCTCACTGCAAACAGTAAATGTTAGATGAAAAGAAAGCATTGTGTTAAAAATTCTCATACAGAATTCACAGAAGGCAAGAATATGCCTAAGAAAACACAGACAGGGTATCATCATGTCTGCCTGTTTTAGGCAACTCTGCTTATTTTTAGTGTCATT
This sequence comes from Homo sapiens, assembly GCF_000001405.40. Lineage (NCBI taxonomy): Eukaryota > Metazoa > Chordata > Mammalia > Primates > Hominidae > Homo > Homo sapiens. Next base: position 881,303 of record NC_000006.12, read on the forward strand.
CATTCACTCATTCATTCATTCATTCCAACAATGTGTGTAGTTACCACTGTGGCCCGGTGGCCCTGCTCAATTCTGGAGTGGCAGCAGCCACAGTGCAGCAGGCGAGCCAGCCAGTGTCGCAGAGCTCCGAATAGCTGCCTATTACCCCAAGGAAACAGCCGTCTTCCTGGAGCTGGTTTGTTTGTTTGTTTGCTTTTTATCACACATAACTTTCTTAAGCAACTGACTTTAGCAGTTATTTACGTATCTTTGTTTTCTTTCTGGACAGTTTGTATATATGAGGGAGAAATTTATTTTACCAAAGACAGTCATGGAAGGCGTTACCTATCCTGGCCAGGCCCAGAGTAGCGTTAGAAGCCCTGGATGCTGGCTGCTTTTGTGCATTGCATCAGCTCTCTGAGCCCATTGTCTTGGGGGTAAAATTGGGGAACGATAGTCGTCACTTTTCTTCTCCCAGAGATACAGTGGATTCTATGATAATATGCATGGAAGTGCATTGTATTCTACATTAGCGCTGTCTCTCAAGTACTGCACGTGTTCGAGCCACTAAGATTTCGTGGGCAAGATGACGTATGCACTAGATGTTCAATAATATGTAAGATGCTTTGAAGCATTCTATTTTCTTTTTTATTTATGAAGTTTTTATATTATTAAATATGTATCTGTGTACTATGTTATTATGTTGACTTTTGTTATATGAAAGCCCTATTTTGATTTCAAATATATTTCATATTTAATTAGTTTTTCTTATGATAAGAACTTTAGAACACTTATTTTTGGAAAATACAGAAATGTAAAAATAAGAAAGCCTTGACACCAAACACAAGCTGTGTGAGAGAGCTCTGTGCCTGTCCTACTCTTAGGCAGGAAGCCTGGGTCGCAGCCTGTGGTCATTTGCCTCCACTGGGAAACTGTGCCCTCAGTGTGGGCCCACCCAGGTTGTGGCCTCTGCCCTCTGCCAGCCTATGTGCTTCCCGTGCCTCCAGCAGACCTTCCTGTTTTTCTTGACCTCCAAATCTGGGCTGCCAAGGACAGAACAGAGAGAGCCAGGATGCGACAAGCAGGGCCGGTCATGCCAGTGCGTGGGGGACCCGAAAGCCGGGGGCGTCGGCGAGGGCCAGCTTCAGCTCAGATGCTCTGCTGGGACTCTGTTTATCTTTTCCTTTATGAATAAATGTGGATGTAATTTGCAAATGAAAAAAAGCAACCCATGATGAGGAAGTCCTCCTTTACGTTTAAACAACTGCTACTGCCAGTTCCAACAGAAGGGCTTCCCTCCATGTCCCCACCTGAGCCCCAGAGAGTAATTCACTAAGATAGGAGGAGATGTATTAAGGCGATTGTTTATGGAGGGGAGCAGGAGCACAGCAACAGCACCCTGAAGCCGAAGAGCCACGAGCCACCTCAGGGAGGCCGGGTGCTTGTTGCCGCTCCCTGGTCACTCTCTGTCCTGGAAGATGGGGATGGGGCCTGTTCATGGGGGGCTTGCAGGGAAAAGGGAGCTTCTCCATATAAAGTCTGTTCCAGATAATAGGAGACCAGGAAGGTTTAGGTTTTTTCTTCCACTCCATATCCACAATTATTTCAATTAATGTGGATTAATTGAAATCAAGATTAATTAATTAATTAATCTTAAGGTTTAATGCCATTGATCTTTGAGATTCTGAAAGCACTTTAGAGTCCATGAATTGTTGGTCTTCCTACTACAATGAATAAAACAAGAGGATGAATGACTATGATCAGGCATGATGACATGCAGCCCCTTTTAGAGGTGAGATTCTTCATCTGCAAACACAGCAGTTACCAGGGGGACAACGTGGTCTCTCATTGCATGCTCTCCCCTAGCAGACGGAAGCTGCTATCTAAATCTGTTGCTCCATCAGACCATCTTCTGTTCCTCAGTTCCTCTATTGAGACTGTCTTTTCGTCCAGAGTTTGCTTTTGGCCAATGGCTTTCTCAACTTAATGAAGACCTCTGGCTTAGCTTCCAAAGACCCCCAAAAAATACTTCTTTCCACTAGTAAATTGCTGTTTAAGTTTTAAGCATTTAATTTCACTTTTACAACACATGCTTAAAAATACATACAGATTATGATGAATTCCACGTTTGAGGAAACAGTTTCAGAGAAGTTGGAGGGTTTGCCAAAGCGGAATCTCAAACCTAGGAAGTGGTGGAGTGAGGTTTGGAAGCCGATTCTCATTCTAAATTCTGTGCTCTGAGCAGTGGTCCACTAGGAACCCCCACAGGCTGTGCTGCTGTAAGCTGAGACAAGACTTCTACAGTCCACTTCGATGAAAGTGTGTCAAGGTGCTAAGGGACTTGGGGTTGGGGCTTTGGCAGAGAACCAGATGGTTTCCATCAGTGGTTTGCACTTTTCTGGGGACTTTGGGAGCTTTCGACCCGCAGAGAAACACAGTTAAGCTGTGCATGATGACAGTCACCCTGGCAGCAGCTTGGAGCGTGGTTATGTGGGAGACTGGACTACCAAGCGGATTATTCCAGCAGTTCAGGAAGAAGTGGGGAGGCATGTTCACCATCAGAAAGTGACAACAGGAATGGAAAAACAAGACAGAATAAAAATCAAACACCACCAGCACTGATGAGCTTTAGAAGCCGAAAGAGAGAGGAGTGAAAGGAGACAGCCAGGTGAATCCTGGTTGACTTAGGTAACGAAGAACGGGAAGGTGAGGGCAGAGATGCTAACGGTGCTTCTGGTCATCTAAGTCTGGGGCCTGGGCTGGGAACTGAGATGAAGAAGTTCAGTAGAACACTGAAAATAGGGCACTGGGGAAGGAGGGCGGGGTAGGGAGGTGCAGGTTAGGAGAGGTCTGGGGAGGGATGGTGGCTGATTGCTGGTGGTGCATAGAATTGCTGAGATGGGACACAGGGGAAGAGAGTTCTGGACTTTCGGAGGAGTCTCAGCAGAATTCCTCTGAAGTATGGCTTTTTTTTCAGTGAGGTTTGTTGAGTGCCTTGCCTTTGTTTCAGGATTACTTACACATTAGAGGGTTAAAAACAAATAATTACCACCCTTATGTTAGCATTTGGGCCACTGTCATGGGGTCTTCATTAAAGCTAATTCCATTTCAGTGAAAGAGCCATGCAGCACAGTTCCCTGCCTGCTTCTTTTTAATTAAGAAGGGTTTGGCCTTCAACAGTGAGGAAGAGCAAATCGTTATCCTGAGCTATCCAAACATCTAACTGATCACTTTTACCTCTCGGTGGTGTTGGTCATAAACCTGGTAGAACGACTTCTCCAAACAGGCAGAAAACATCCGGCTGCTTAATCCTAAACCAAAGCCAAACTCATTTTAAAATGAGACAGGAAAGCTCTTAGAGGCAAATGTGACAGCCCCACCCTTCTCAAGATCAAACAAGGTAATGTGACTTTCAGTATTTTTTTTTTAACTCTGGGCCTTAATCACCCTGAGAACAGGGGCAGCTGATGTTAGTCATGTCTAATTAAGATTGTTCTGTGCCATTTGGTTTCTAATGACGGCCATTGCACTCTTTCCCACATAGTGGTTGGTCAACCTGCCTCCATCTATCATCAAGCATTCTCATTTAGTGGTAGTAATTGTAACTCCAAAGTCAATAGCAGTATCAAAGCAAGGTTAAGTAAACACCATAAAGTTATTAGGGATGAAAATATCTACAAACCTAGCAATATTATTTGTAGATATACAGTGGAATCAGGATGTAACATAACCATTTTTTTAAAGGATTGGAATGAAAAGTTGGGGACACTGGGAGGTGGGTGTGATGGAGGTTCCGGATGAGATGATAAAGTGGGGTTGCCAACAGGACCCCAGGCCTTGTGCCACAAGTTCACAGGTTCAAAGCCGGCCGAGGGGTGGTGATGGAATATTTTTAGGTTTATGTGATATATCAATGAATGACTCCCAGCACCCTTCTCACTGAGCTCTCCATAAAGCAAGCCCTGCTGGAGAACAGGAACAAAATGAAATATAATGTTAGATTGCGAGCAAAACCTCGAATCAGTGTTTCTGCTCATGAGTTTATGTAAGGAGAGGAAATGAGATTGTGTCACCTAACCAACCCCTGCCATTTCCTCGTGGGTGTTTCTTAACCAAATCAAACTTCAGTCCACACCTTAGAAGGGCAAAGAAAAGGTATCATTGTTGGGCCACTCCCTGTTCTATTCTTTCCTGAACCCACAGAGAATTTCCTGCTCTTGGGTTATAAGTTTCCATATTCCATGAGAACGTTTAAAATTACTGAAAATTTAGTATCTATGGAGGGGCCTTGGACTTGTGCTCCCTCCCTCTCTCCATGCCTGCACATCTACATAGGTTGATTCAATACCATTTAATGGTATGTGTGCTTGTGTGTGTGTTCACATACATACATACATACATGATGTATAGGTGATTATATCTACAGGACCTATGCACACACATATACATACATGTGATAAACTTAGCTCAGGCTGCTGTAACAAAATACCACAGACCGAGGGGCTTAAACAACAGACATTTATTCCTCCCAGTTCTGGAGGCTGGAAGTAGCAGAACAAAGTCCCAGCAGGTTCAGATTTTGTGAGACCTCTCTTGGGTTTCAGACAGACCACCTTCTCATTATGTCCTTACATGGCAGAGAGAGAGAGAGAGAGTGTGAGAGAGAGTGTGTGTGTGTGTGTGTGTGTGTGTGTGTGTGTGTGTGTGGAAGAGAGAGAGAGGAGAGAGGGAGAAAGTGCACACATGCACAAGCTCTCTGGTTTCATCTTCTAAGGTCCCATCACAAGGACTCCATCCCCATGACATCATCTAAACCTAATTACCTACAAGGGACCCTTCTCCAAATACCATCACATTGGGGTTTAGGGCTCCAACATATTAATTTTGGGAGGAAACAATTCAATCCCTAAGGACTGACTGAGGACATTCTCCTGAATTTTGTAGACTAACGTAACGTGGCTGTCTGAACCGAATTAAATTTTCTGTTACATGAGTTCCTTGGGAAATATATTATATTATTTCATTTATTATTTATTTATTTATTTATTTATTTATTTATTTATTTATTTATTTATTTCAGATGGAGTTTCAACTCCGTCGCCCAGGCTGGAGCACAGTGGCACAACCTCGGCTCACGGCAACCTCTGCCTCCTGGGTTCAAGCGATTCTCCTGCTTCAGCCTCCTGAGTAGCTGGGACTACAGGTGTCTGCCACCAATCCTGGCCAGTTTTTCGTATTTTTAGTAGAGATGGGGTTTCACCGTGTTAGCCAAGATGGTCTTGATCTCCTGACCATGTGATCCACCCACCTTGGCCTCCCAAAGTGCTGGGGTTACAGGCGTGAGCCACCGCGCTCAGCCCCTTGGGAAATATTCTTAGGCACTGAGAACAATTTATGTGTTCAAACAGGTTTACAATGGACTGTCTTTGAGAAAAAAATGATGACCCCATTCCCTCCAAGAAGTAAATTTGTCCTTTATCTTCTTTTCTGAATTTCTTGAAAAATCCAAGAAATTCTTATGACTGCTTTCTGTTGTCCCCAGTAAAACAGGGACCACACTGCACATTGCTCCCCTTGTCCCCACCCTCCATACCCTAGAGGAATAATGCTGTTGAAACACTGGGACTATCTGCTGAGTGAAAAATTTAATATTTCTGTGTTTCCTAAGTGCATTACCCTTCAGGAGTATAGAGCAGAGTCACCCACAGCCGGTTTACATTTGTGGTAAAATACACCCAACATAAACGTTACCATTCCAACGCATGCAGTTCACTGGCGATGAATACATTCACGCTGTTGGACAGCATCACCGCCTTCCATCTCCAGAACCTTCTCTTCCCAGGCTGAGACTGTACCCATTAAATGAGAACTCCTCGTTCTCCCCTCACAGCCCCTGGCAACCCCATTCTTCTGTCCCTGTGAGTTTGATACCATGTGAGTGCCTCACATGAGTGGAATCACACAGTGTTTCCTCTTTTGTGCCTGGGTTATTACACTTAGAGTAACATATGCAAAGTTCATCCATGTTGTAGCATGGGTCAGAATTTCCATCCTTTTTAAGGCTGAATAATATTCCATTTTTTAAAATTGTTTACTCACTCGTCCATCCACTGCCTATATTTGTAAATAAAGTTCTTTTTGGAAAACAGCTCTGTCCAGTCGTTTACACATTGTCTGTGGCTTGGCAGTTGCGACAGAACACTATGGACCACAAAGCCAAAAATATTTACTCTCTGGATATTTACAGAAAAAAAGAATTGCAGCTCCCTGTTACAGAGAATACTCTAGAACAAGGAATTGTTTCTGATGAGAAAGAGGCAAACACGTTTCAAGGCCCAACGGTCAAAATCCACCACCCCCGCGCCACAGCTGGAGGCGGACTAGTGCGGGTCCTGTGCACCTGCCTGGCGTCTGGCTCTGCGCGCCCCACCACGGACCAGTGACGTCAAGTGGGAGGCGGCTTGCTTGCAGGGGCAGGAGGATTTCTCCGCGCATTCCTCACAGCCCATTTTGTCCCAACTTTGTTTTAGCCACCAGAGCGCGTCTGTGCGGCCAGCACCACCAGCAGAGGGGACCCAAGTGTAGGGGCGCCTTCTCCCCAGCGCGTTTGCGCACAGCCATCCCGCGCTGGGTGCTGGTGGCAGGTCCCAGCACCAGGACCTAGCCAAGGGCAGCCTTGGTGCGTGGCGGAGGAAAACCATCTGTCCTGCCCTGTGCATGGCGCTGCCTACAGTGACAAGGACTCTGCTGCGAACGGGCGGGCCCTCCACGCTCAGGCCTGGCTCTCAGGGCAGCCTCCTGAGAAACGGACTCCGCAGCCGCAGCCTTTGAGACCTTTACTAGCCACACACCAGTCCTGACAAGCGTTCCCAAACCCGGGCAGGACCTTCTTAGGCTGCCCCAAGAATCCCCTAGATGAAATTCCAATGTGGAATGTGCTCAGGGAGGTATGCTGGACAAGCGTATTTTAAGTTACAATTCACAGAGCTCTGGCAACATCGAGGCCGTAGGGCATTTCCAAAATTAGAAAGAACTTGAGCTAGAATTTGAAGGTTAGGTGAACATCCTTACATGGACACACGTGAGGAAGGAAGAGTCTTCCTTTAAGGGCAATATGAGATGCTGGGCATGCTTGTTGGAATCAAGCTAATGAATGGCTTTGCTATTATCATTGATACTTCCATAAATAATTGTTTCTTTACTTAAAGTAATTAATAAAAAGTTGTATAACTTCATTTTCTCATTTAATTATAATTAATAACAACTAATTTATAAAATAGCATCAATTTCCCATCCCCAGCAAGGGCATGTTTAATGCACAATGATGCTCCCAAACTGTCTTTGCTCAGTCATCGAACCTCCGAGGACTTGAAAGAGAGGACCTTTTATTGACAGTTTGCACTTGTTTTTAAAGAGTGTGTTCTCATAGTAGGTTTGCTGTGTATGAAATCCGTACAAAGCAGAAGACAGCAAAAGCATCAGGCTCCCAGTTTCCCTCAACCAGCAGGCATCATGCTTCAGTGGGACGTGTGAGGGACCGTTCAGTCACCCAAGGTACGCGGCAGGTGACCAGGGCTGGGTATTGCAGAGTCTTCCCGGAAAGGTGAGATTCTACTGTTGTAACTACAAGAGTGCCCTGCTGACAAAAGGACATAGTTAATTCCAATCAGAAGAGCCCTACCTCTGCTATCCAACTTGGGAAGCAGAAAACTTCTCACATCCAGCCAGCCACCTTCCAGAATTAGACCCACGCACATGAGTGGTACGTGCATTCTAAGCTATTTTCCTTGGAGGACTGAGGTGTTGTGTGAGGTATCAATGCTCTCCGAGCCCCAGTGGCCATACTCAATTACATGATCAGAAAGAGAAGCTAGGACTTTATTATATAGCTTTGTATTTGTGATTATGGCAAGCTCCTAGAAGCTCTGGGGTTTCATCAGGTTAATGAGCTATACTAAGGGTCACAAACTATGGCTCTCAGACCAAATTCATCCTGCTGCCTGTTTTGTGAATGAAGTTTTATAGGAACCCAGCCAAGCTCACTTGTTTACATTTTGTCAGTGGCTGCTTTGATGGCTGCTGTCTCTACAATGGTAGACTTGAGTAGTCGAGACAGATACCTTCTGACCCACAAGGCCCAAAATATTTAATATCTGGCCCTTTACAGAAAAAGTTTGTTGTACCCTGAGTGAGGCTCATGCTGAAGGGTATCTTAAGTTCATTAACTCCAGTCTATGTGCAGGAGGTCAGAGATCCCTTGCGTAGGCCTGTCCTGTTCCTACACAATAGTCACTCCTACCAGAGCGTGCTCAGGAAAGAAAACTATTTGAAATGAACATAAAAGGAAATGTATTCTATACTGCGTTTTCTAATCCTTTGCTGCTTTACTTCTGCAAATGCGATTAGCAGTATCCTTTCCATTAGGCGTAACATGCTCTAAAGTGACTGTCAGGTTATTTTACTTATTTATTTATTTATTTATTTAGAGACAGAGTCTTACTCTGTCACCCAGGCTGGAGTGCAGTGGTGCAACCTCGGCTCACTGCAACCTCCACCTCCCAGGTTCAAGTGATTCTCCTGCTTCAGCTTCCCATGTAGTTGGGATTGCAGGCACCCGCCACCACGCCCAGCTAATTTTTGTATTTTTATTAGAGACGGGGTTTTGTCATGTTGGCCAGGCTGGTCTCGAACTCCTGACCTCCAATGATCTGCCCACCTTGGCCTCCCAAAGTGCTGGGATTACAGGCTTGAGGCTCTGCCCCCGGCCATTTTAAAGACCCAGAGACTCTTCCAATTCAAGAAAGCCTTTCTTCTTTTTCTCTCTGGGCCCTTGGCCTTTGCTGATGCTTGCTGCTTGACTTTTCCCCCCTCACCACTCAATACCCTCACCTTTGTGGTTCCCCGCCCCACTGGCTTGTGTCAGCACTGACAACACAGACAGTAGCAGCCGCTAAGGAGGAAGAACATCCACAGAAACAGGGGCCTGAATTTACCGGCACTTCACTTACAGAGCAATTGACTCTGCATTAGGAGATGTGAATGCAGTTTCCACCTCTGTCACTAGCTTGCCATGTGACCCTGGGTCAGTTCCATTAGAAAGAATGAGATGTGAATAATGATTTTCAAACCAGTTGTTCTAGATTCTAAAGCATGGGGAGAACGCAGCACCTCCTGCATTTAGATCATTCATGAACAAATCCCTGAATTGTGATTCTATTTCTATGAGTAGTTATGAGTAAAGTTACACCTGCATTTCATAATTAAAATATTCACAAAATTTAGTGAACTGCCATTGAGTATCCACTGGGTTAGAGTATATTGCCTTAAGCTGTGATAAATAAATCTCAACATTTCAGTAGCTTCTCATGCTGCTGGTGGCGGGTGGGGGCGATGTGTTGCTCCTCGTGTGACCCCTTCCACGTGGTGACATCACAACCACATGTGAAAGAAGAAGGGAGAAATGGGGATGGCACCCAGGAGATCTTACGGCTGGTTGGGAACTGACATACATCACGTCCTTCTGCTCACACTCTGCTTTCGTCTCACGTGGCCCCACACAAAGTGCAGGAGGCCTGGGCAGGAGAATTTACCTGTGAGTACCTGAGAAGAGGCGAAGGCCAGGCGGGATCAGCCACACTCACTGTGTGCCCAACACATGCCGAATGTCAAGCAGGTTGCAGAGATGAACGACGTGGGCTTTCTGTGAAGATACATCTAAAATCAGGAGCCTTCATCTGAGAACAGGAATTAGGTTCTGTCTCTTGTCATCCTTGGTTTCTCACCCTCAAGAAACCTTTCCGTAAAGAATTTTGAAGTTTACTGTTGGGAAGGAGGCCACGTTGCCATGAAGTGATAAGTATTCTCTTGTTTTTCTTTAGATCTTGATGGATATTGTATCTTAAACCATTGCGCAAGTTATTAAGCTCCTGTCTTTCAACTTCAAAGCCACTCCACGAAGGGGAAGCTGCAATTCTGGAGGACAGCGAAGGGATTTTCTGCTTTCTTTGGCCAGTTGCTCCCTTCAGCACCACTCCCAAAGCCCTGGCAGTGGTGGCCAGCTGTGTTCGAGAGCTTTTCTGCCAGGTTGCCAGACCAGTCATCATGGCCCCCCTAATGTGCCAGTGCTGCCACCCAAACCATGCCCCTCCTCGAGGGCCGAGTCCCAGCTCTGCAGGGCCCCCTCCTATGAGCTCGGTGGTACTGATCATCACCCCAGTGTCTTTTCTCTGTGTCCACAGCCCAGGGTAGTATTTTCTCCTTGCAGTTATGACATCTGGGTTACCAAGGGCTTCCATGTTGGCCTCTTAAGCTCCAACACCTACATAACAAAGTGTCTGTATTAAATTCCCTCTGTCGAATGGACTTGTGTGACTTCAGTGTTCCTGACTGGACCGTGACTAATACAGTCATTTGACAACTGAAAGTAAATGTTGAATCTTGCATTTTATTAGTTTTTTTCAGGAGTATTCAAGTATCGTATCATCCAGCTTGCTAACCACCCTGCAAAATGCTGGTCAGTTTTGAAAACTGTTTCTAAGCAAAAATATTTTATTTTCATTTTAACATATGAAATTGATTCATTAGAATAAAAAATTCCACAATTGTCAAAGAAGAATTAGTTGAAAACTGTTTCTAAGCAAAAATATTTTATTTTCATTTTAACATATGAAATCGATTCATTAGAATAAAAAATTCCACAACTGTCAAAGAAGAATTAGTTGAACTGTTTACACTCATAAAATGAAGGTTAATTGTTTGTTGAAGTGAATATATTCTGCACAGTTTAGAAAAGTTGAATATAAATTTGCCTATTCCCCATCCTTTTGGTTTGAAAACTGAAATCAGTTTTAATGCAAGCAATCTTAAATTAATAGCCTTTACAAACTAATGTGATCTTAATGTAAGCACATAATCTTTATCCTAAAACTTAAACAGATAATGACTAATGACTTCCGTATGTTTATTTTGTGCCATGCAGATGCTGCTGATATTGGCTATGGAGACGCCCGTCCTCTGTCTTCTATGCGCGCAGATGCAGTTTGTCCAACTTATGTGCGCTTTTGCTCAGTTCCTGTTTGCAGCTGCTGAGCCTTCGTCTGCACATCCTCCTCTTCCTGGGATAGGTGCCCATCTGTATTCCCGTGGTTATGTCCTGCACACACTTTGGGGGCACTTACTGGGCTGCCCTGGGATAATCTGTTGAGGTATGTCTGTCCCATTAGACCATGAATACCTTTGGGTCAGGATGGTATTCAATCAACCTTGAGAATTGTGTGTCTGGCACTTTGCCTGGCCTTCAGATGCTCCATGGAGGTTTCTTGAATGAAGCAGTGGATAATGGGGATTTAGCCAGGTACCCCACTCACATGAGAAGAGTAAGGCCCCTAGCTTAGTGCAGATGAGCTGAGGAGTACCATGGGCAGGTCCCACAAATGATCAGGAGGGTTCTGAGACACGGTGGCACAACGTACGTGTGCCACGATCCCCACGTGCCACCAGAGCCCTGTGAGCCCCCAGAGCTCCATGCACCACCAGAGCCCCGCTACAGGCTGCAGAGGGGTTACGGGACAGCGCCTAGCGTGGGAGCGCAGACTCACTGGGCCTTCTGTGCCCTCATGTTGGGACTTGAACATGAACAAACGCTGATGGGCAGAGTGTGCACAGCAGGAATGTCCTGTGCCAGACCTCTCCAGAGGGTTTGCTTTATCCGCCTCCAGCCACAGTGGGACCCCCACCTGCCACCCATCTGCGGGACCCTGAGAACGCTCTGGGAGGCAGCTGGATTCTGATGGACAGAAACTAGGGAAAGTGAAGTTTTTTTGTCTTTGGCATAAATGGCCTATTATGGAAAGCCCAGACGTGCCCGGGCTCTGTCTTTGCGCCGGACATGTGCCCTTGCTGGAGTCCCTCAAGCAACTCCTTTTATTGCCCAGAGTTTGATATGAGTAATAGAAGCTGTTTTTGCAGACAGCTGCTTTGAGGGTTACACATACTGTTTTAAAGTTGGTTAGGATTTAGAGTGGTATGACTGATATTTTTACTAATGTTAGAATTTAATTGAAAATACTTAGTTTATTGGCACTAGTTAATCCAAGTTATTTTTTCCTAGTTAAGGAACATGCCAAAAGGTGTAATTTGATCATTTTTATATGAACCAAAATAGATTTTGGCTTCAGGATGGGAGGAGGGACAAAGATTTTATTCCCTTTCAAAATTGGCCTGACAGTTTAACTAGCAAAGTTAACAGAAATGAGAAGAAAGAAATTTCATAGGAAAAAAACAAGCTATGAAAGTCCTGAGATATTTTCGTAGAGACCAACGGGCCTGGGGCAGCTGTCTAAAGCCATCTGCTGCTCCCTGCACGCGGCCCTGGAGCACATCTCTGTGTCCCAGCGCATCTGCCCAGCACCATGGAGCTGTTGAAGCCTGCTGGTACCTGTGCCATCCTGAAGAAGGACGGGCAGAGCCCTTTCTTCCTCTGTCCCCACAGTGAGTCTCTGGAGGCTAGTGGGGTCTGGTGCGGGGCCTGTGCCCCCAGCACACTCCAAACAAGCGAGTGCTTGATGCCAGGGCTGCCAGTTTGCCTGCCCAGCCCTGGCCTCCTCCTGGGGCCATATCTACCTCTTAGCCGCAGGCGTGGGCTGGGCTGCCTCTCTAACCAGTGAGTGTCCATTCATCCAGTATTTACTGCCCCCACGTTAGGCCGGGCCCCGACTCAGGTAGGAAGCAGCCTCTGGGGAGGAAAAGGACACGCTCCTACTCTGAAACATTATACTGTTTAGCTGGACATCTAATACATGCGTATAGGGACATTTATATCACCCTGGGAGTTAAATAGCAATCCAGGACAACCATGCAAAAGATGCCCTAGACATTGTACGACTCGCTGGCAGGCAAGTGGCCGAGATGCAAATGATACCGCTGGAATGAGGAAGGTGCAAGCAACTTGTGTGAGGCTGCTACACGGCTCCTTCCCATGTGGTTGTGTTACTTAATTCTCCCACGTGTGGTGGGCCAGTGGAAGTGCCTCCACACCAAACTCATTTCTTGATGCTAACTTGATACTGTTTCAGAAAGCTACTTTGGGCTAGGTGACATCAGTCTATAATCACCATCCCCACAGTCTCCATCAGTATCATCATCAGCGTAATCATCACCACTACCACCACCTCCACTAAAAATTCACCTGCGGTGTGCCCCCTACAGGCCTGTGCATGCTGCAAACAGATTCAGCTGTTGCATCCAACAAGGCCAAGGCCCCGGTGCCTTTCCAATTCTTGTCTTCCTGTGCTAGCGTGGGTTCCAGGGACATCGTTTGAAGAACAGACTTTAATGTATCAAGCATTGTTCCTTGGGCTCCAGTTCTTCTTCTTTTTTTTTTTTTTTTCCCAAGACAGAGGCTTCCTCTGTCACCCAGGCTGGAGTGCAGTGGCACAATCTCAGCTCACTGCAGCCTCCGCCTCCCAGGTTCAAGCAATTCTCCTGCCTCAGCCTACCAAGTAGCTGGGATTACAGGTGTGCACCACCATGCTTGGCTAATTTTTTTTTGCATTTTTAGTAGAGATGGGGTTTCACCGTGTTGGCCAGGCTGGTCTCGAACTCCTGACCTCGTGATCCGCCTGCCTCGGCCCCTCAAAGTGCTGGGATTACAGGCGTGAGCCACCACACCCCTGGGCTCAAATTCTGACTCTTTCCCCAATCCATGTCACGGGGTCCCTGCATTTTAGCAGTGATAAAACACAAAGATGATACAAAATTGCAAGGTATAGGAGGAAAAAGTTCTAGTGTTCTGTGGCACCATAGGATGACTGCAGTTAACAATAATATACAGTTTCAATAGCTAGAAGGAGGATATGGAATGTTCCCAACTCAAAGAAGTGATAAGTGTTTGATCTGATGGATATGCTGGTTACCCTAATCTGACCACCATATCTTATATGTATGGAAACATTACTATGTACCCCATGAATATGTAGAGTTACTATTTGTCAGTTTAAAAAATAAAACATATAAAGATCATATTTTCTCTTTCCCCTTATAAGGATATGGCAGATATGAATTACTAACAAAACAGCATTTGTGAAGGGTTGGCATTTCTTCTGCTTAGGAGGGGAAAGCTTTTGATAAACAAACTGCAACCTTGTCCTTGTGGGTCCTGAGACCTTACGGGCTTTTTTTTTTTTTTTTTTACAAGAGACACAGCATGAAAGCATTTTAACTAAATGCTTTAATCAAGATACCTTATACTCTAATGAAAATCACTCAAAAGCACTCAATGTCCCCCAACCAAAAACGTGTTACATTTCCAATAAACATGCCTGCCTCAACGGAAGTGGGGGTGAAGTTGGCACCGAGTGGGTGGTCTACACAGCCTGGTGCCCTCACAGTGTGTTCTGAGGACTCGAGTTGGCTCTTTATCTTAGCTAGTTTCATGCAGGAAGTTCTGGGGATAAAGTTAACTGCTGTCTTGCTGCACAGGACTCAGGGTCATCTTCCGCTGAGTGCATTTCAGAGCCCGCAGCTTGGTGCGAAGGTGGCTTGCAGGTAGCTGGGTGCCCGTGGGCCTGAAGCTGATGACACTTTCTGGAGGGACATGAGGATGTTGACTGTTCTCATTTCCCCTTGGTATAGGCACTTTAGGGCTTTTACATTTGTCTAGCAGCAAATATTTCCGGAAGGCCATGTTTTTGAATTTTCTGCAAAGATGTTTAGGGGTGTTAATGATGAATCGTCTGAAGAAAGTGCTTGGAAGCCCGGAATGACTGAAATCTGGTATTATTTTACCCTAATGTAGGTCCTGGCAAGGGACGTGCTGATGTGGTCTGGCCTCAGTCTACCTTACTTCCTCTCTAAACAGATGATTTGCAGCATCCCTCATCTCCCTCCCTCTGCATCCTGAGTTCCAGCTGTCCCAGGGTTCACGGCTCAGGAATGTACACCCCTTCTCCTGCCTCTGGGGTCACCCTCTGCCCCCCCACCTTTTGCTGTGTGCAAGAACTGCCCTCCCCGCAACCCCCCGCCCTGCTCCTCTATCCCTGGGCTTGGTCGCAGCTTCCACGATGGCTTACCTGTCTCCAGCTGCCTTACCTGCACTTCCATCACCTGGACAGCCAATTCCCTCCTCCACTGCATGTGAGCTTCAGGCAGCTGAGGGCTTTCATCTGCACTCCTAGCTGCACCATCTCCTGCACTTAGGAATCCCGTACACCCTAGGGCTGTACAGACTGCCTCTTGCTTGGCAGTGCTCAGGGGACCTTACCTAGGCTGTTAGATGGCACCATGCCATACCTCTGGGGCCAGGTGTGGTTTCTGGAAAGGCACTGAGAATACTGACCACTAGGCCCTGTAAGGAGGTGTTGTGGGTATAGATACGGGGAGGCTAAAAGCAGCTGTGAGTGTGGGTTTGTTCTGTGCCTCCATCATTAGACTTCCTCCCACTCACTCCCCGCAAACTGGATGAATGAGGAATCCTGCTCTCTTTTTTTTCTCCTCGCCCCAGAGGAAGAAAACTGCAAGGAGGAAAACATGGGAGATTAGGCTGAGCAACACACGTAAGGGTGAGGGCTTCACATTCTCTACATTCTCTTTCCATGCCTGAGATAGACAAGGGCGCAAAGGCCTGGGCCACAGGCTGCTGTTCAGAGCAGGGCAGGTGGCAGTGCAGGTAGTTAGTGAACTTCTGGATAAAGAAGTGGACTTCCCCAGGAGGAGAATCTGTACGGTAGTTTTTTCTATTGAAGATACAATTTCTCCTTTCTTTCTCTCTCACTTCAGTCTCCCAAATTGCTGGGACCACAGGCATGTGCCACTGCACCCCGCCTCTCTCGCTCTTCATTTTAATCTCTCTGTAATTGTATTTCTTCTTTATCTGATGTACAAGCTTATTGTAGGGGTATTTCCTCCCCACCCCCCTCACCCTGCAAAACGTTATCTTTAAATCAGTGGTGCATCTTAAACCTGATACCGTTTAGAATCAAGGAGATTCTTGTGCCATTTTCCAAGCAGACAGGTCCTGCCTTGGGAAGATGGCAGCCATCTCCCTTGGCCTCTCTAACTAGGCTTCTCTCATCAAGGTGAATCCTGCATAGTGGGAGTAAATGCATGTGTCATGGCTGCAAACGTAGCCTTGCCGTGTTTATAGCCAAAAAAGTTATGCATCTCTAGGAGGTGCAGTGGAGCCTCCGGAGCCCAATCCTCTAGGTCTGCCTCAAGACAAGGTGTTTTAAGGGGTCAGTCTTAGCTGAGGTTCATACAATTATTTGGATCTTGAGAATAACCGTATGAACTTGTATGCACACAGACACGTACGTTCAGCATTTGTGCCTTCCAGTTCAAGGACTTCACCTACATTAGCCGTCCTTCTTTTCCAGGGACCCTGAAAGGATGGTGTTATTCACACTGAAGTTATGAAACTGCAGCTACGGAAATGGGGAACTGGTCTCAAGCAGTGACAGCGACTGAGCGTCAGTGCAGGAAGCCCGATGGCTGGAGTGACCCAGCATTAAGAGGGGGATGAAGAGTGGAAAGAGAACCCGTCTAGGCATTTATGGAGCTGGGACAATGGGCTTCTTTCCAGGCTCTGTCATTAAATGTTGGGCTGACCTTAGGCATGACATCCAACATATCTGAATTCCAGCGTACCTTGGGGGTTGCTAATGACTGCACCACTGTTATGCACCAGGTACTTTCCCAGGTGCTTTTCTGGAGAAAAACAGATGAGATGCCTGTCCTCATTGGTTTAGCTGAGAGACAGAGAGAGAGAGAGAGAGAGACAGAGAGAGAGAGAGAGAGAGACAGAGAGACAGAGAGAAAGAGAGAGGCGAGAGGGAGGGAGGGAGAACATAATAATATGTGCAGTAAATATGTAAATGGTACAGTAATATTAGGTGAGAGGTCAGCAGACATTTCCTGCCACAGAAGCTGCCGTAAGGATGTGTGCCAGCCCCAGGCTGGGCTTTGCCAATCTCCTTATTTGAGGAAGGAAGTGTGATGGGAGCATTGCTTCCAAACTCCCCGTGGTGATGAGCTAGTGTTGGACTTTTACTTCAAGTCCTTTGCAGACCAATCATTTTGTAAAATACGGTAACATGAATCACTAGAACATAAAATGAAAGCTTCCAAAATACAAGCCACATGGTTTTGTCATGAGATTCCACAGACGTGAAACTGTTGTGTCCACTTGCTCCGCAGCAGTAGCTCCTTCCTCCTTCCTCCCTGCTCCCTGTTCTTCTCTCCCACCTCCATCCTTTGCTTTCTCCCTCCCTTTCCCCTTTCCCTTCAATGGGTCAGAGCTTTGGCTCTGCACCTGGCCAGGAAGAGGATGTGTGCCTGTGGGCCTAGTTTTTAGCCAGCTTAGGCCAGAGACTGTTACACAGGTGAAATCCAGACAATAAACAAGTCCTTTGAGATGACGAGAGTTGATGTTTCACATTGCTGGAGGAGGAAGTTACATATATGGAAAGAGGAATGAGTAAAAATAAGTCCTACAGTGTTGGGTGGGATTGCAGGTATTGTTGTCAGCTCATGGTGTTTAAAATAGATAGGTAGAAATAAAATGTACTTGCATATGTATACATATGCATTTACAATGTATGTGCATATCCATGTATTTCCTGGTTCTATCTATGCTGCTAGGGCATGGAAGCAATGACACCCTGGCAACAGTGAGCACACCTGGTACCCATAGCTTGGGTTCTAAATGCCACACACCACTGAAAGGAACCAAGGCTCCTTGGAGAGATGGCTGACTCCAGGGTTGGCCAGAGAAAATCCTAGATGAGCTTGGAGAATTTATTTTGTGCCAGAAAATATGGAAGTGCTCAAAAAGTGATGTGGGCTTTGTTAAACCAGTCCAGGAACCAGATCAAAGTCACTCCCACTGACCAAATGGAACACTTAAGCATCAAAATAATAGTGCGCTACAGTTTGTAACCCTTTGAGCAAAATAGGAATTCAGGAGTTCACATTGATATGAATGAATAAATGAGAGAGAAGGGAAAAGCCTACCTTCTTGTTGAAGTCTCAAAGCTTTTCTCCACAAAATACTCATTAATTCCTTACCAACTAATGAGTATCAGAAACTCATTACCTGACTTCACAGTGGAGAAACCTACCAGATCTCCTCTAAACCAAGTGATAAATTAATTTCACCTACCAATAGGACAAACTAACCTCGGGTGCCTGGTACAGTTTCGATATTTCTCCCTGCCCAAATCTCATGTTGAAATGGAGTCCCCGTGTTGGAGGTGGGGCCCGGTGGGAGGTGTTTGGATCATGGGGCAGATCCCTCCATGAATGGCTTGGGTCATCTCCTTGGTGATAAGTGAGTTCTTGCTCTGAGTTCAAGAGATGTGGTCATTTAAAGGTGATGGCATCTCCCCTCAAACTCTCTCTTGCTCCTCCTCCTGTCATGTGAGATGCCTGCTCCCCTTTTCCCTCTGCCATGATTAGAAGATTCCTGAGGTCCCCAGAAGTGGAGCGATCACCATGCTTCCTGTACAGCCTGTAGAACCATGAGCCAATGAGCCAGTTAAACCTCTTATTTATAAATTACCCAGTCTCAGGTGTTTTTGTTTGTTTGTTTGTTTTTGTTTGTTTGTTTGTTTGTTTTTGACAGTCTCACTCTTGTTGCCCAGGCTGGAGTGCATTGGCAGGGTTTCGGCTCACAGAAACCTCCGGCTCCCCGCCCGTTCAAGCAATTCTCCTGCCTCAGCCTCCCGAGTAGCTGGGATTACAGAAGCCAACCACCATGCCCGCCTAATTTTGTATTTTTAACAGAGACAGGGTTTCACCATGTTGGCCAGGCTACTCTCGAACTCCTGACCTCAGGTGACCCACCTGCCTTGGCCTCCCTGAGTCCTGGGATAACAGGCGTGAGCCACCGCACTTGGCCTTAGGTGTTTCTTTCCTTTTCTTTCTTTTTTTTTTTTGAGATGGAATTTCACTCTTGTCACCCAGGCTGGAGTGCAATGGCACAATCTCAGCTCACTGCAACCTCTGCCTCCTGTGTTCCCATGATTCTCCTGCCTCAGCCTCCAGAGTAGCTGGGATTACAGGTGCCCACCGCCACACCCAGCTAATTTTTTGTATTTTTAGTAGTGACAGGGTTTCACCATGTTGGCCAGGCTGGTCTCAAACTCCAGACCTCAGGTGATCCTCCTGCCTTGGCCTCCCAAAGTGCTGGGATTACAGGCGTGAGCCACCGCACCTGGCCTCAGGTGTTTCTTTATAGCAACACAAGAACAGCCTGACACAGTGCCCCCAGATGTGGTACACTGAGAAGAGCACAGGGTCATTTCTAAGGGATTCTTGCCCAAAATGCACAAGTGACAAACCTGAGACAAGTCCAAACCAAGGAGCATTTTTATCCAACGAAAGACCTGTATTTAAAAAGTGAAGATCGTGAAAGACAAAGGCTTTGAAACTGTTTCGGATGGAAGGGAATTGGAGTTGTGAAACCACAGGCAACGTGTGACCCTGAATTGCACTCTGGACCTTTGAAAAACACTATTAGTGCCGTCGGGGAAACTTGAATGGGGGTTGATGTGACAGTGCTGTATAGAGCCGTGTGAATGTCTTGATTTTGACGCTGTGCTTAGTTTATGTAGAACAATGTCCTTGTGCGTAGGGAATGCACAGTGTAGTATTAATAAGAACAGATGACACAGCGTCACATGAGCAGCTCACTGGCTGGTTCAGGAACACCCAGGTGTACACGACAACCACCCAGCCCCGTCCTCACACATCGAATGTGACGGTATTGAGATAAATGCTAACAATTAGGGACCCCCCCGGTGAAGAGTACACAGCAGGAAGGAAGCTCTTTGTACCCCTTTTGCAACTTTTCAGTAAATTTGCAGTTATTTCAAAATATAAAAAGTTAAACATTTGCTAGAAAAGTTTCTAAATGTTTACTCTCGGTTTCTGCTCAAGGGTGGGTGGCTTATGGTTCCCGCAGAGGCATTCCAAGTTACACGATCTGACAAGACATGGAGCGACCTGAGTTTGCGTGTTTCTAACACGTTGGCTTGAATCCAGCATGTGCTGGTGCTGGCTGTGTCCTGATGTGGCAGTGAGAGCTGCTTCTCCCTATAATTTCAATCACGCAGCTGGAGAAATCCCCATGAAATACTCCACCAAGGTGAATGAGCACGAGAGGCATTTCTACACGAGAAGTCCCTTTCTCCAGCTCCTAGCACACTTGGTAGCACCTACGAATCCTAAGGGAGGTGTTTTCTGTAGGCACAGATGTTCCTGGTATAGAAATCTGACCAACAGAGAGTACCCCTGGGTAGGGCCATAGCGCATCCCACGTCCTGGACCCAGCCCTTTGGGAGACGGAGGCAAAAGGCGATTTGGCACAGAAGTAGCCTATTGTTTAAGTTGTTTGGGCGTCCCTTTTGTTTCATTACCTGCATTTAATTTTGACTATTTTATGGAGTTAAATGTGTGATCCTTCTTATTAGATTCTTAGAAGGCAGCTTTGCTTTATGCAAGAACACCTGTCTATATGAACGTTTGTAAATGCTTTTTAACAGTTTTCAAGCAACCTTGGGCACACAGCTGGCCGGGGAGCTCCGGTGGAAGGGGCCAGCTGCTTGGCTGCCAGAATTGGAACGAGCATAGGACATGTGCAGCCACTGTAAACAAGAATGAATTTTCCTTAACCTTTATGAGTCAAATATTTATTTTTGGAATATTAACAAAATCAAAAGAATTGCCGTGTTCTTTTAAGTCAAAACACACTGACGTGCAGCTTTTAAGAAATTTTATTTAATGGAATAGTCTTAAATGGAAGCTAAAACAAATGCAGAAACACTGGAGATTTCTTGCCCAGTGTACATAGCACTGAAGCAACATTAAAAAAATCTTTAATGCTCTATAAAAGAAGCAATGAAATCCCTCTTCCCATAAAGTGTCCATCAGATGATGAGCACGCTGAAAATTCCCAAGTATGCCGTGGATAGAAAGCTCTTGGTGTGTGGCATTGTGTGTGTGCATGTGTGTTGAGGGGATGACAGATGTAAGTTCCCTAACTCCTCCCTCCCTTTACCCTCCCTCTCTCACCCTTTCCTTCTTATAAGCACATGTACGTGGGTAGGGAGATGTAGGAGTTGCTGGCTATTTAAAAAAATATTTTTGAGACAGGGTCTCACTCCATTGCCCAGGCTGGAGAGCAGTGGCTTCATCACGGCTCACTGCAGCCTGGACCTCCTGGACTCAGGCGATCCTCCCACCTCAGTCTCTTGAGTAGCTGGGACTACAGGCCCATCATGCCCTGCTAAATAGCGAAATAATTGCTTTTTGTAGGGGCAGCATCTCGCTTTGTTGCCCAGGCTGGTCTCACACTCCTGGTCTCAAGGGATCCTCCTGCCTCCATCTCCCAAAGGGCCGGGTTACAAGTGTGAGCCACCTGGTCAGAACTGCTGTTTTAAAGTGGCTAGGAACAGACCTATGGAAGAACTCTTTTCTCTGGAGCAGGGGTGAGGAGAAAGGTAAAGCTATCTTTTCCAAACTCTGCAAAGCAGCATTTCTGCATGTGGACTGCAATTAAAGAAAGGAAAAAAGAAAGAAAAAACAACAAAAACGTTGCTCATTTTGTCTTAGAAACAATTTACCTCTTTCTCTTGGTTTTGTCGTGATTGTGTTTTATGGAGAAATTTGCACAGAGGTGATTTTACATACAAAACACCCAGAACCAGCGACATAATTTGCGGGGCCCAGTGCAAAATGAAAATTTGAGGCCCCTAGTTCAAAAGGATTAAGAAGTGCCACATGGGAACGACAGAGCATTATCAAGTCCAGGGACCTTCTGAGGCTGGGGTCACTGGCAGCAAGGGTTGCCTGAAGTAATGATTCAGCCCTGCAAACATGGAACTGTATTGAATTGTAAGTACCAGCACTCTGGGAGGCCGAGGTGGGCAGATCACCTGAGTTCAGGAGTTTGAGACCATCCTGGCTAACATGGGGGAAACCCCATCTCTACTAAAAATACAAAAATTAGCCAGGCGTGATGGTGTGCACCTGTAATCCCAGCTACTCAGGAGGCTGAGGCAGGAGAATCACTTGAACTCAGGAGGCGGAGGTTGCAGTGAGCTGAGATCACGCCACTGCACTCCAGCCTGGGTGACAGAGTGAGACTCTGTAAAAAAAAAAAAAAAAGCCCAACATAAGTTAGCAAGCTGAGTGTTTCCAGCATAAAGCAATGGTTTATGACCAAGTCACCACTAAGTACAAGTTTTAATTTAAGCCTGTCGCCAAGTTCAAGCAAAAGTTATTATTATTTTTAAACCAGTAGTTGGAAGAATTCAGAGTCTAAATTAAGGGATTATGTGGTAAAAAATTTTCAGAAACTTAGTGAGTCTCACAGTTTGTCAAATATAAGCCTCTCTTCTGCTTTGTAAAATAGAAGTAAGGTATTTTAAGATTTCAGAGCTGAAGACCCCCACCAGGGGTGATCAGAAGTCATCCAAGTGTGACATCCTTATTGAGCAGGTCGAGGAAATTAGACCCAAGAAAATAAATTAACCGGGAACTTGAATATGCGACTTGTGGTTCAGTACTTGGCTCTTTGCACTACATTAAATTCTTTTCCACATTTTTCTTTCATGACTCCTTAGTGAAAGACCAATCAGTGGATTGGATTTGATAAGCTCGATTGACAAGTGGCCTGAGTGCATCAATGACTGTAGTCTCATGGACGCTGCAGCTGGGCCTATGTTCCAAGGCAGCCTTTTCCCCACTCCTGGCAGGCTGCACTTGGCAGAGTGAATACTTATCGATGAGCATATGGAACAACAGAAAGTCTTCTGTGATGCTGGTGGAAGTGTAAATTGGGACAAATTCATTTGTAAAATAATTTTCCAGAGTCCAGTGACAATTCTGCAACATAGCAACTCTCTCTCTAAATATTTACACCAGGTAGAATCTCATACATGTGCTCCAGGAGACATTTTAAGAATGGTCATAGCAATATTCTTTGTAAAAACCCCAAACTGGACATGACAACTCAAATGTGTTTAGAGAGTGGATAAATATATTTGGTATACTCATACTTTCGAACGCTACATGGCAGTGAAAAATCAATCAATTATAGCCAAATAGATCGATGTGGATGAGCTTCAGAAACACGATGTTGGGTGAAAAAGAAGTTACACAAGAATACAAACAGCATAATCTCATCTGTATAAAATATATGCAAAACTAAACAATATTGCTTAAGAACACATACATAAAAAGAATATCAAGAAAATGATAAACATAAAATCCATGATAATGGCGACTTCGGGAAGACATGGAGTAGAATAGGATAGTGGAGGAGCCCTGAAGGAACCAAGGTGTCTACAACCTATTATCTATTATCTATCTATTATCCATCTATATATCTATCGATCTATTATCTATCTATATCTATCTATCTAATATCTATTTATCTATTATCTATCTATTATCAATTATCTATCTATTATCTATTATCTATCTATCTATTGTCTATTATCTATCTATCTTTCTGCTATTATCTATTATCTATCTATTATCTATCTATATAGCTATTATCTATTCCCTATCTATTATCGATCTATCTGTTATCTATTATCTATTATCTATCTATTATCTATCTATCTGCTTTCTATTATCTATCTATTATCTATCTATCTGTTATCTATTATCTATCTATCATCTATTATCTATCTATCTATTATCTATTATCTGTTATCTATTATCTATCTATCTATCTATTATCTACCTATTATCTATTATCTATTTATTATGTATTATCTATCTATTATCTATCTATCATCTATCATCTATCATTTATCTATCTATCATCTATCTCTCTCTCTCTATCATCTACCATTTATCTGTTTATTATCTATCATCTATCAATCTATCAATCATCTATCATCAATCTATAATTTATCTATCATCTATTTATTTATCTACCTATCTACCTACATATCATTTGTCTATCTACCTATCATCTATCAGATTTTCCTTTGTAAGTGGTACATATTTCATAAAAAGTATGAAAAAAGACTAAATGTAGAGGACACTGGCCCACAATGGAAGGTTAAATTTCATTTTGAGGCTTCTCCTTCAGCAATCCAAGATTTTCAGAAAATATTTAATAATCATGAACAAGAAATATACAAGAAGAACACAATGTTTTTTTTATCATCTTAGTAGTTTATTCCTTGTCTTAATTGTATCATGTGGAAATTGCGTTTGGCTGTATTTAACAGAAAATTCCATAACAGTTGTTCATAGAAGATACATGTTCATGTCTCACTAACAAGAAAATAAGCAATAGATGTTATTAGGGACTCTAGTTCATTCTAAATCTCCTTTCTAGGGATTTTGTAGCCATCCATAGTCCACAGGGTGTGAGCTTTTGTGTCATGTGTGCAAGATGGCTACTGGCACTCAAGCCATCACATCCACATTCCTGGCTCAAAGAAAGACTATGGCAAAGGGCAAAAGGGACAATCTAGACAAATCTGTTCACTTGTAAAGGCTTTCCCAGAAGTCTCACTTGACCAGAACTGTATCATGTGGCCACTGTGAACTGCAAGAGAGGCAGGAAATGTAGCTGAGCACACAGTCATGCTTAGCCCTTAATAAATAAATGTTAATAAAATTGGGGTCTTGTTATTAAGAAAATGGAAAATGTTCAGACCAATGCCCCCAAACCAGGAGGCAATTAGCCATCTCTGCCATGCTAATTTATTGTTTCTGAATAAGAAAGTTGAAATGCAATAGTAATTCTAAAATGAAAGAAAATTATTTAGGCTCTTTATTAATAAATATAATGCTATTAAGGTAGTAATTGATTCTGCTCACCAAACGTGGCAGAGAAATATTCTTTTGTATTTTAAGCCTCTGAGACTTGTTTTTATTTTTAATTAGTTTGTTATCAAAGTATTAATTTGACTATATTTAATTTGAACTATATTTGAATTATAATTATGTTATTATATAATTATTATATTATATACCATATAATGATATATAATTATTTCTTATAATATACATTTATAATTATATATTATATATAAAATATATAATTGTATATAATATAATTATATATTATATATAAAATATATAATTGTATATAATATAATTATATATTATATATAAAATATATAATTGTATATAATTATATATTATATTTGAATTATATTAGTTTTGCTATATTTGATGATGCTATATTTATATATTACTGATACACTAAACTCATATTTATTCAGAATCAAAATGTTCCGACACATCAAATAGTCATTAAATAAATATCATATTATCATTTCTAGTGTTTCCTATTTATATATCTTTTTACCACACTCTTTTAAAAATACCATTAATTTATATATAGTTATACACAGTTATAGTGAATCAGAGTAATTCCTCAATTAGAATAAATTACATTAGCATTTGTAGTATTGTGCTTACATTTTATGTAACACTTTTAATATGAGAGATGCTGCATTTGTTTCAATTGTTGAAGCCAGCCAAGCCCTCTCTCTTTCACATGTATTTGAAAATGTTAAAGAAAATATTCAAAAATTAAATTATGTTTCTCCTCTGTGAATTTAAAAAAAATACCTTTTTGTATCAAGAAGAAAAAAAGAATTCTTTAATCCTCTGGATTATTGCACACAAGTTGGTGACTCAAAATTCCATGGACCTGGCTGAGAATTCAGCTGCAAGATAAACAAAGAACTAACAGATACCCCCCACTGCTGAAAATGAATTCTTTCGGACGGGAACAGACCAATGGCCGTCACAATGACATCAGCTTATTGTAACCTTCCTTCTGTGTAGACAAAATAACCGATAGGTCCTTCAGATCTGCCCGAACCAAAGCCTTGAGTCACCATCCCTGGGCCGCCACACAAGGGGGCCACCTTGGAATAGCATCTTTCAAACAGATGGCCCCCCAGATTCAGGATTAACGTGCAGTAAACAGCTGGATGCAGGCACGCCAGCAAGGAGATCCCGTCCTGCTGCTCCCCGCTGGGCACGCTGCATCAGCCTGAGGGTGAGGCCGAAACCTGGGATGGGCGTCCGGGCCTCCCTGCAGCCCGCGTCCACGGTGACAACTGTTGGGAACAGGACCATTTTTATGGCATCTTCATCTTTCTTTGAAGACCATTTATCCATTTCTCCAGCTTTTTTCTATTCATTATATTAATATAAACCTGCAGAGTTTTGAAAACTGAGGATGAAGTTGTATTTTCCTTCCACCTTAAATATCTCTTAAAGAAGCCAGAAATGAATTAAAACAAAACAAACACAAACACATCTATTGGTATTTGGGGCAATGGAAAATGTTTCTCTGAGTGTCCTGATTTATTTGAAATGCTTAATTAACCATAAAAATCTTACTATTTACATTGTGCTTTCTACCATAAAAACCTGTTTCACCCAATCTCACTCACCCAAGAGACTAGCAGGGCAGTGATTTTTCACCATCTCTCTCCCTGAGCCTACTCATTACTTCCCCAGATCTGGACAGATCACTCCATCTCTCCAGACCTTTGCAAAAGGGAAAAAAAAATTTGTTTCACTTCCTTCACTGGGCAGTTTAAAGATCAATATGAAAATAAGGATAAGAAAAGTCTCTAATAAGCTTTTCTATTGGCATAAGATGTTATTGGTAGTAATACTCGTGGCATCTAAGCTGCTCCTCTTTGTGAATGTGGATCAGATTTGGAGATAACCTGACTACCGCATCATCACTCAAATGTGAGTGCTGCAGCCCCGATCAATGCACAGTAAGGGTCTGACTGCCATCCCCACTGCAGCCTGGAAAAGTGGCATCCCTGATCTCCTCTAGCAAGATCCTGACAGTGCAGCTTTATACGTGCATCTGCTAAGTCAAGCCAGAGTGCGAATCTGTGAGCTCAAATCTTGTGCAAGGTGGAGTCCCTTCTCCAGGGACAGAATCCACCTGTTGAGGAGTGGCAGGTTACAATGTAAGGACTCCCTTTGGCTGTTTAGCCACGGTCTGTTTCATAAAACCTTGATATTCTTCAAGGGTAGGGCAAACTAAGTCAATTTTCAGAAAGTATCTCTATCATCAATGGATGCATGACTATAATTTCTATGGTCGGGTGGCCTTCTCAAACAGAAGTCTCTCTGGAATAGTGATGTAGCATTGCCTGAGAGACCAGATAAGTTAAAGAAGATGAATGTTCTTGAACCTTAAGAAAGCCTTTTGTGGGTGTTATTAACTGAATGTTCAAAAGCCTCAAATGTGTCTGTTGAAACCCTACCCCCTTACATGATGGAATTAGGAGATGGGGGTCTGTTGGAAGTAATTTGGGTTAGATGAGGTCATGAAAGTAGAGCCCGCGTGAATAGGGTTCGTGTCCTTATAGGAGCCCCCAGAGAGCAAGTGTCCTTTCTCTGCCATGTGGGGACACAGTGAGAAAGCACTGTCTAGGAA
Source organism: Homo sapiens (assembly GCF_000001405.40). NCBI lineage: Eukaryota > Metazoa > Chordata > Mammalia > Primates > Hominidae > Homo > Homo sapiens. The sequence continues at coordinate 908,727 of NC_000006.12, forward strand.
GAACAGTTCCTCACCAGATACCAAAACTGCCTTGATCTTGGACTTCCAGAATGCAGAACGACCAGAATCAAATTTTTGTTGTTATAAGTCACTCATGCTAAGGTATAGTGTTATTATAGCCCAAATGGACCAAAACGGTGGGGTTACAACCATGTTCCCCTCAAAGTAATTTGGGTGGTCAGTAGCAGACTATGGAAAGAAGGGATAAAGGTGAGATTTCCCAAATTACTTCCTACAAGTGCTATTACCTACAAGGAGTTCGGCTGCTGTGGAGGGCCACATGACAGCTGGAGTAAACGCCACTCAGCTCATCAATGCCCTTGTCACTGGCCACCCCTCACATCATCTCATGGGTGCCCTTCTCACTCAGAGCCCCTCACATCATCTTATGGGCACCCTTCTCACTCAGAGCAACTCACATCATCTCACGGGCACCCTTCTCAGCTCTGAGCCCCTCACATCATCTCATTGATGGTCTTCTCAGCTCAGAGCCCCTCACATCATCTCACGGGCACCCTTCTCAGCTCTGAGCCCCTCACATCATGTCATCGATGGTCTTCTCACCTCAGAGCCCCTCACATCATCTCACGGGCACCCTTCTCAGCTCTGAGCCCCTCACATCATGTCATCGATGGTCTTCTCACCTCAGAGCCCCTCACATCATCTCACGGGCACCCTTCTCAGCTCTGAGCCCCTCACATCATGTCATCGATGGTCTTCTCACCTCAGAGCCCCTCACATCATCTCATGGGCGCCTTTCTCAGCTCAGAGCCCCTTACATCATCTCATCAACGGTCTTCTCAGCTCTGAGCCCCTCACATCATCTCATGGGCCCCTTCTCCCTCAGAGCCCCTGACATCATGTCATCAACGGTCTTCTCAGCTCTGAGCCCCTCACATCATCTCATGGGCCCCTTCTCCCTCAGAGCCCCTGACATCATGTCATCAACGGTCTTCTCAGCTCAGAGCCCCTCACATCATCTCATGGGCCCCTTCTCCCTCAGAGCCCCTGACATCATGTCATCAACGGTCTTCTCAGCTCAGAGCCCCTCACATCATCTCATGGGCCCCTTCTCCCTCAGAGCCCCTGACATCATCTCATCAACGGTCTTCTCAGCTCTGAGCCCCTCACATCATCTCATGGGCCCCTTCTCCCTCAGAGCCCCTGACATCATGTCATCAACGGTCTTCTCAGCTCAGAGCCCCTCACATCATCTCATGGGCCCCTTCTCCCTCAGAGCCCCTGACATCATGTCATCAACGGTCTTCTCAGCTCAGAGCCCCTCACATCATCTCATGGGCCCCTTCTCCCTCAGAGCCCCTGACATCATGTCATCAACGGTCTTCTCAGCTCAGAGCCCCTCACATCATCTCATGGGCCCCTTCTCCCTCAGAGCCCCTGACATCATCTCATCAACGGTCTTCTCAGCTCTGAGCCCCTCACATCATCTCATGGGCCCCTTCTCCCTCAGAGCCCCTGACATCATGTCATCAACGGTCTTCTCAGCTCAGAGCCCCTCACATCATCTCATGGGCCCCTTCTCCCTCAGAGCCCCTGACATCATGTCATCAACGGTCTTCTCAGCTCAGAGCCCCTCACATCATCTCATGGGCCCCTTCTCCCTCAGAGCCCCTGACATCATGTCATCAACGGTCTTCTCAGCTCAGAGCCCCTCACATCATCTCATGGGCCCCTTCTCCCTCAGAGCCCCTGACATCATGTCATCAACGGTCTTCTCAGCTCAGAGCCCCTCACATCATCTCATGGGCCCCTTCTCCCTCAGAGCCCCTGACATCATGTCATCAACGGTCTTCTCAGCTCAGAGCCCCTCACATCATCTCATGGGCCCCTTCTCCCTCAGAGCCCCTGACATCATCTCATCAACGGTCTTCTCAGCTCTGAGCCCCTCACATCATCTCATGGGCCCCTTCTCCCTCAGAGCCCCTGACATCATGTCATCAACGGTCTTCTCAGCTCAGAGCCCCTCACATCATCTCATGGGCCCCTTCTCCCTCAGAGCCCCTGACATCATGTCATCAACGGTCTTCTCACTCAGAGCCCCTCACATCCCATGCTGTCCCTCAGCTCCTGTGAGGCCCCCGTGTGCTCCTATAAAGACAGTCAATCAGGCTTCCTCCAATGCGCCACAGACAGGATCGTGCGGCTCACCTTTCTTCACTTTTGCAAGGATAACTTCTGATGTGCTCACAGAGGCCCCTATTTCCTTCTTTCATCCAGTCTGATACACTGAGTGTGTGGAAGAAGTCAGGCCTGTCGGACCTCAGTGGTCATCTATTGAATTCTGCTTTGCACGCTTTAGCTGGTGGTCTCACTGTATCCTGAGATGCACTTTTTTGGGAAAGTGGACATGGTGTTCCCCTGTTCTCCTTCATTGGCCCTAAAGGTTTCCCATTCCTTTTAGGCAAAAATGCAATGTACACAACTATTCCCATTTATTAATTTCTATGTTCCAGAAACTGTCCTAGACACTTTATATAAGCTCACTTAAGTCTCATGACCATCCTGTGAGGTTTATATTCTTGCACCCATTTTACAGATGAGGAAATAGGGTCAGTAGGTTGATTAACACAGCTGAATGGCAGAGCTGGATTCGATCTGAGGTCAGCCTGACTTTTCCTTCAGGATGATGCGCTGCTTCCTCTGATGAAGGATCAGGGATGCAGAATGGGACTGATGTACCTGTTCAACCATCCCACTCATTCTCCTCACTTTGCATGCTCTTCTCGGGGCCATCTACAGACAGGTGAGGGGCCCCCTACAGACAGGTGAGGGGCCCCAGGCAGACAGCTCCTTGGGACACTGAGCTCCACATTGAAATGTTACTCAAATGAATGCGCAGAGGAGCTGTGAGTGAGAAAGTAAGCCCTCCAGCGTGAAGAGCCCCGGAAAAGCCACCCTTGCTCTGGCACCTGTCATGCAGCCCTCACAGCAGTACTCCCATGGGGTATGGGAGGACAGGGGCACTTCTGTTGGTCTTTCCTTCCTCATGTTCGTCCCAGTAGGGCCTGGACCTGCAGCTGGGGCTTGGCGTCCCCTGGGGCCACAGCCACACAGACCAGCAGACCCAGCCTTGGGCAACTACACTAGCTGGATTAGAAAACTCCAAACATTGCACGGTGTTCTACATCCAGCATTTACTATTTTGTTAATCCGAAGGTAGATGCAAGAAAACACTGGACAGAAAGGAAGGTTCCAGCAGACAGCATCTCTAGCTCTCAGTAGGTAACAGCCTGGAGGACTCTTTGCCACCCCTAGGAAGGCCTGATCGGGGCATCCTTAGGGCTACTCTGTGGAACAGCCCCTTTCCTTTCTCCAGAGAAACCCGGGCTCCTGCTTTGCATCCTGAGAGGCTGAGAGGACCTCTTCCTGTGCATGCCTGAAGTAGAGAATCTTTGAGATGTAGAAAGCTTTCTATATACCAGTCATTTATTCCTGGTGTCCACATGGATTTCAGTCTGATCTGGGCAGAAATGTGCTCTGGGCGTCCCTGTGGAGAACTTTGCAGCAGCCAACTCAACTAGCAGCTAATGAGTTGTCATGTGAGCCTCACACAAAAACCTAGGCATCCAAGTGTGTGTGGTCATGGGGTGGGTAGAAATGGGGGGCAGACAGACACAGAGAGAGAGAAAGAGAGAGAGAGAGAGTTTAACAAGGTGAGCCCCAGGACAGGGATGAGTGTCTGTGGGACCCTTGAGATGGCTGGCTCATGGTGAGTGCTAAGTGCACATTTGTTAACTAAACAAATGAGCCAAATGACAAAAATGACAAAGTGTATTTTGATGCTGCTCAAAATGAGGGACTTATAGAACAAAGATAATGATTTCTGGTGAAATAGCCTAACATACTGACTGCTCTGAAGTCCTGAGTTTAGAAGGGGAGAGATTTGTCATATCCAGCTCCTTGCTACCATTCGGTCCTGAGGCTGAGACAGGACCCCTCGTGTCACATCAGCTGGGGTGCCCTCTGTCCCACCGTGATGTTGACGCCAAGGTGTCCACACCTCAGTGAAAGAATACTACCCTTCTACCAGGACCAAGGGTCTGGGTAAATTCCACTTCAGAATGCAGCCTTCTTTCCTGACAGGCACAGTTATTTTTGTCTTTTCATAACCCAGTTGCAGTAGGTCACACTCATCCTGGGCAATGCATTAAGCAGAGAGTTCTTTCTTATTATGCATTCTTTGGAAAAATAAACTCAATTTCCACTGCAGCTTTTGGAGCATGACGAGGGTGGCCCTGGAAGCTCCAGTTTCTGACTGAACTGAGTTGGTGAGCAGAAGCACATCATCTGCCAGGCCACAAGAGGACAGCAGTGGTTCGAGATCCAGGTCGCTGCTACCTCCTCCGTCAGGCTCCTTCCCCCGCTCCCCACCCCCCGCGCCCCCCTCCCCCGCCCCCACCTCCTGCCGGCATCAGAAGCACCTGCAGGATTTTAGGACTGACTTTGTCATGCTGTTCCAGGATTCTAATTTGCATGGGTCTTTATTGATGAATGTGCTGGAAAAACCCCAGAATGATATCAGCATCCCAAGCTGAAACCGGGCCATGCTTTCCGTCCTTCCAGAATATTCTGACATCACTGTTGTCTCTATTATCACAGACTCACTGAGAAAGTATGAGAAATGATTTACCTAAAAGAAAAACAGGAGCAAGTCCTTTTGTGTCTCCTGGCCCACGTGGTCAGAACTGGGGTAATAATGAAGGTATGGAAGAGAAAATACTCAACATTGCAGACTTGACATTTCCTTATCTTATGTTAGCCCCCTGGTTTTATCAAAATCTAAGAAAACTTTATGACTCATAACTTTCCTTCGTAACACAAGTATTTGACTCAAAAATGTTTATTGCATATTTACTATGTGTTGGGAATAGATGGTATGTGCTAGGAATACAGATACACACAAGCTGCTGTTCCAGGTGGGAGCTGTTCTTGGAATAGGCAGGAGGCAGACATGTGAACTAACGAGTTATAATTCAGCAAGCTGAAGCCAAGCTCAGGCCATGCAAAGGTCCTGTTGGGGGGAGCCCCGGGATGGGGGCACTGTGGCAGGGAGCCCCAGTGGGGGGCCACCGTTAGGATGAACCCAGGGAAACTGTGTCATGGCCAGGTGCTGTGCTGATGCTTTCCATACACGATCCCTTGCAGTTTGCATAGACTCAGGAGGCACGTACCAGGCTTAGACTGTTTCATAGCTGGAACAACTAAGATTCAGGAAAGAGTATCCAGTTGTCCAAAGTCTCCCAACTATTAATAATAAATGGGAGGGCTGAGATGGGAACGCAGGTGCTGACTTGAGAGCCCGGGCACTAACCACCACTGTACACCCCCTTCCCATCCTGGCCTCTGGGCTCCTGATGTGGACTCGTGCTTGCTGGCACCTCCTTCATGCGGTCACTAGAGCCAGAGGTGCAAGCAACAGGAGCTTCCCACTGCTTCACCAACCTGTGCATGCAGGAAGCAGCTTCTAGTCCCTTCTGCAGAGATGGCTGCTGGCAGCCTTAGGGTCGGGGCTCTGCACTGGGAACCCCACCCCTGCCTGGTCTGTGGTCAGGGCTCCTTTGGCCCTGTCAGCCAAAAAGCCATCATCACACCCACCCTGAGCTAAGGCAGGGGCCATGCATTGTTGGTTGTAATATTTCTTTTTTTTTTTTGAGACAGAGTCTCACTCTGTCGCCCAGGCTGGAGTGCAGTGGCACAATCTCAGGCTCACTGCAACCTCCGCCTCCTGGGTCCAAGCGATTCTCCTGCCTCAGCCTCCCGAGTACCTGGGGTTACAGGTGCATGCCACCACGCCTGGCTAATTTTTTTGTATTTTTAGTAGAGACAGGGTTTCACTGTGTTAGCCAGGATGGTCTCAATCTCCTGACCTCATGATCCATCCACCTCGGCCTCCCAACATTGGTTGTAGTATTTATTTTGCCAAGTATCATGCCTGACATGTTCCGTAATAATTCATTATAAATTAACAAATGAGTGACTAGAAGCACACAAATTCTGTTCAATTATGAGAAAAAGTTCCTGGTCTTACTGGTGACCTCCTAAAAGCCCCTCTGTAGGGGACTCTGTGGGTGAGCAATCCATGGTCTCCACATCATTGGAAGATTTTGGCTTCCCATCTTTGATGGACCCACAGAAGGGTTTCATGGTTCCTGACCTCAAGCTTCAGCATGTTGACATCAATTGTGCTGTCTTTCTGGACTTTTCATTAAATTCAATAACATCAAATTATAAGACACAGTAACTATTTCATGGCAGGCTCGCTGTCTTGAAACCATTCTTTTTCATGTTTACTCTCGAAATGAAAAGACAATTCTAGATTTAAATTGAAAGTATCCATTAGCGTCTATGAGTACAAGTGAGTGCAGAGTCCCATGCTTGGCACCTACCAGCCAGCATCATCTCTGGAGGCTGTGATGGGCACAGTGTGTATGCAGCACCGAATCTGTTTTCATAGATCTTCTCCCAGCATATCTCTCAGGCTCGAGAACGCTGTGTATTCAATTCCCTCATTCTTCAAGTCTTTTTTGTTTGTGCAGTATGCTGATGTGAACTGTGACGGCTCTGCAAGACACCTGGCGGAGGTTTCGATGATGCTGAAGTTCTCAATGTTGCCGTATGTCAATAGTTTGATGGAAAAATAAATCTGTGAAGTTTAGAGGTTGGGGATTGGCCCCAATAGTTTTCTTCGTAGCCATGCTCCAGTCCAACCAAGTGATGTAGCCTCAAAAGATTTTCCTGTGTGTACTCTGCACCAAGGAGACAGCACTGCAGTGAGATGTATGAGAGACCATTCAAGTATAGGAAACATCTCTGATTTGATTGTGTCCCACCCCTAGCCATGTCCTGCTGCCCCTTGGCCACCTGCACCCCTGGAAGGTGACCAGATCTGAGCACCTCATATCAAGCCCCCACATTTTTTTTTTTTTTTTGAGACGGTGTCTTGCTCTGTTACCCAGGCTGGAGCACTGGAGTGCAATGGCGCAATCTCACCTCACTGCAACCTCCACCTCCTGGATTCAAGTGATTCTCCTGCCTCAGCCTCCTGAGTAGCTGGGATTAAAGGCACCTGCCACCACGTCCAGCTAATTTTTGTATTTTTAGTAGAGATGGGGTTTCACCATGTTGGTCAGGCTGGTCTCGAACTCTTGATTTTGTGATCCACCCACCTCAGCCTCTCAAAGTTCTGGGATTACACATGTGAGCCACTGCGCCCAGCCCAAGCCCCCACCTTTCTAGGTAAGCTTATGATCACAGCTGATAGTGAGATATGAAGCGGCTGGGCTTCTGGGTCGGGTGGGGACTTGGAGAACTTCTCTTTCTAGCTAAAGGATTGTAAACGCACCAATCAGTGCTCTGTGTCTAGGTAAAGGTTTCTAAATGCACCAATCAGGACTCTGTAAAAATGGACCAGTCAGCACTCTGTAAGATTGATCAATCAGCAGGACATAGGCAGGGCCAAATAAGGAAATAAAAGCTGGCCATCCAAGCCAGCAGCAGCAACCTGTTCAGGTCCCCTTCTCGGCTGCGGAAGGTTTGTTTTTTCGCTCTTCATTGTTGCTGCTCACTCTTTGGGTCTACACTACCTTTAAGAGCCGTAACACTGCGAAGGTCTGCAGCTTTCCTCCTGAAGTCAGTGAGACCGCGAACCCACCCAGAGGAACAAACAAGTCCAGACGTGCCACCTTTAAGAGCTGTAACACTCACTGTGAGGGGCCTGGGCCTTCATTACTTAAGTCAGCCAGACCAAGAACCCACTGGGAGGAACCAATTCTGAACACAATAGTATTACAGGGTTTCAGAGTCATAAATGAGTTATACAGCAAATACAAGAAGAGTTTTAACTAAGTTTCTGTCTGGTGTGGCTTTCTCTGTAGTATAGGTAAAGATGTACAGTTCTAGGAGACACATATTAGGTTGCTATATATTGATAAGTTAGAAACTACCACTTCTGGGTCTTTTCTCATCAAATTATACAGAAAAAGAAGTCACGTCTAAGGTATTATGGAAAAAGTTCCACATCACCATGGAAAACCTGTGTTCTTTGTCCGCCCCTAGAATGTATAAACCTATAACCTTCTGTCAATCACTTAAACTCGCAGAGTCACGGTTTCTACAGCTGCCCAGTGGAGATGATGGTGCCCTGTCTACCTCATGAGATTACTGTGGGGAGAAGATAGGAAAAGTAATTTTAACTACAAAGCCCTATACAAATGTTCTTATTGACCACTGTGATATATATTTTCCTCTCTGGGCTCTTCATATCCCAGGTCTTGTGTATTTTATAAGTATAGTTGACCGTTGAACAACATGAGTTTGAGCTGTGAGTGTCCACTTACATGTAGATTTTCTTCTTCCTCTGCCACGCCTAAGCCAGCAAAACCAACCCTCCTCCTTCCTCCCACTTCTCAACCTACTCAATGTGAAGACAAGGATGAAGACCTTTATGATAATCCACTTCCACTTTGTGAATAATTAATATACTTTCCTTCCTTATCATTTTCTTAATAACATTTTCTTTTCCCTAACTTACTTCATTGTGAGAATATAGGATATAATGCATACAACATACACAATATGTGTTAAACCACTGTTTATGTTGTTGAGAAGGTTTCAGTCAACAGCAGGCTATAAGTAGTTAAGTTTTTGAGGAGTCAACAGCACGGGTCAGTGGCACTCCTGACCCCTGTGTTATTCAAAGGTCAACTGTACAGTGTTTGCCAGGAGGCTATGATGTGCCTGAAAGTGCCAAGCATCAGTTCCTGTTTACCACCTTTCCAAGTTCCTTTCTTCAGTAAATACTGATGTGACTACTTTGCATCAGGAACTCTGGTGGGCACTGGGGAGCCAAGCATGATGGCCATGCAGCCCCTGTCAAGAGGAGGAGATGGATGGCCAACGTCCTCATGCTCATCAGAGCTAAACAATGAAGCAGATCACAGGGGCTACTCCAGGGACACTCACCAAAGCCAGAAAGGCACTGCCCCCAGGAGAAGCTGATCAGGGAAGCCTTGTGAGGGAGACAATGCTTCAGTTGATTCTTAAAGATGAGTTAAATTCTCCAAGTTAGGAGGAGAGGGAAATACATTCCAGGTAGGGGGAGAGCAGATTTAAAGATAGCCTGAAAATTAGGGAGCTCAGTGGGCACATCTAAGAAGGCCTAGGACCCAGCCTTGAGGAACAACATTAAACAGCCATGTAAAGGGAAATAGGCTTGTGAAAGAAACAATAGAGTAGCAGTTGGAGGGAGGGAAAAGCAGAAAAAATGTAAAAACAATTGTTATTGAAACCCCAGGGGCTTGTTCTAAATCCTGCTGCTGGCCTCACAGAAGTCTATCACTGAGATGAGGTATGTTGCCAAGGAAGAAGGCTTTAGTTGGGTGCTGCAGCTGAGGAGATGGGGGATGGTCCATCTCGAATCCAACTCCTGACTGACTAAAACTAGGGGCTTATCTAGCAGGAGAGAAATTTAACAATGTGTGGAAAACAGGAACTCCGGAGGGGTAGGAAAGCAATCATGATCAGTGAGGGCCCTGGTCGTCTCATGGTCTGGATGCCATGATCTGGTGAGTTTCAGTCCTTTGTTACTTTCTGAGAGGCCTGGGGGTCCTTTCCTGAAGGGGAAGCTCAGATAAAACAATTGTAAGTGTCACACTTTAAGACTAGAAAGGTCAATTTCCATGTTTATTAAAAAAAACCCTGTCTATGGGATTATTGGGTTGGTTTCACAAGTAGAATGATCACATGGCAGACGCCAAGGGAAGAGAGAGTTTAATGCATGAGGGGAAAGTGAAGAAAATGCAGTGGTTCTAGTTTACTCCTGCCTCATGGGCTTGTTAATCAGAATGCTTTCCTTTAGCTTTCAACAGAGATTAGAATTTAAAAATATGATTATGATTGAAGATTAGACTGGAATATTTTGGCACATGGGAGATTTTGAGAAATGGTATGCGTTGTACAAATCTTGGATGGGCTTGCAGGAGAAGCCAGGAGGTCAACTGGGGAAAGTGAAGTGGTGGAAAGACACAACGACACATTTACCTGCTTCAAAATGCAGTGGACGGCTGCCCCCTGCCAAGGTCTTTTAGGCCTGTGGGTGCATCAGAAGAAGTAAGTGCATAGTTTGAAAAATTCTTATCTTGTCATGAAAGTTTACACTGTCTTTTAGACCCAAAGGCTGAAGAAATCACTTGCAGACATAATTTCTCACTCAGGCTGTATATCACATCATTTCTAGATGGTATTGCTGTGAGATTCATTACTGTGATTAAGGCAAGAGTGAGAGGAGGTGCCTTCTGTGGCTACATGTATACCAATTTTTATTGTATGCCTATCATTTTTACTATATGGCTAACATAATATTAAATTGTGCACCTGCCATGGATGGACTCTGCAAATCTGTGTGTGTGAAAGGAGGTGAGGCTTATCTTAATGAGTCATCCAAGGATTCCAGAGAGGGGACATCTGAGACCTGAGCCAGGACAAGCTACAGCTCATTGGGACTCACTGCTAAGAGAAAATAGGTGCATGTAAGGTTTTCCCAGAATAAAAATGGAAAATGAGTATGAAGTTGAGTTCCTATCTCAGACAAAAGAAAAGGTTCTGTTTTGGAAAGTTCAAATATGTTCTGGAATAGAGTCAGATGTTCAGGTAGACCAGTTTCCTGGTGCCTGGGAAACAAGATAGCGCTCAAAATGCTGGGAGAAAGGAATTGGGCAAGGGACATTCAAGTTGATATTTTAAGCATCACAGTAATGACACTGGAGTTTTGTAGAGCCCTTTTCCTAAAAGAATTATTGATTTCCTTAATCAGAACTTTTGCACACTACTCTTTTATGTTTCTTTGCCTTTTTTCCCCATCTTTTCCTTCGTATTAAATTCCATTTATGAAATGGCAGACTAACTCAGAGTAAAGGAAAATATTTAAGGCAACATGTGAACCTGGGGCCAGCAGGGCACTAGGGGTCAGCAGGTGAACTGAAAAATCAGAAGAGAAAGTTGGGTCTGCTGACTTCTACTTTCAGCTTTCTTTTCTCTTTGAAAAGCATTTTCCTACATGGAGTATTCTTTTGCTCAATGATGGGTTCCCAAAACAAAATAGAACTGAATACTCTATGTGTGGCAACATTTCTTGCAGGGCATTTGGGCAACATTTATTACCCTGAAATAGGTCATTTACATAATGAGACTAAAAACTTCTGGAGTTAAGTAGCTTTCATACTTCTCGGGATTACTCCCAGGACTCCCTAGGGAAAGGAATTAATGGGGTCATAGTCCCTCAGAGGTTTAATATGCTCTCTCACCACTTTTTGTGCCTAAGGAGCAAGCAGAAGCTATAGAGGAAATAGCATATGGCTCTATGTTCTACTAGCATTCCTTCACCAACCTGCTACATGTCTGAGTACAAATCTTTGCTAGTTTCTAAGAGGATGACCATGTTGAATTATTATGCAAGGACAAAATGAGAAATAATCAGTAAAATATGTTTATTCATATTTTTCTAAATAAAAGAATACTAGAAAATGGTTTCGGTGATAAAGAACAAAAAAGGATTAACATATTAAACATATAAATGTATTTGTTATGTTTTATTGTGTAATTTAGTGAACATGTGATATGGGAGTGCTGGGAAGGGAAGAGCGTGGTCCCTTTAAATGATACAGAAGGGGGAAAGGAAGTGCTGTGTGGAGGAGGATGTGGTCCCTGGCTAGTACTCCAACCACACAGACCTAGGTTAAGGACAGGCATTTTTGTTGCATTTCCCAAGACCACCCTGGCCTGCCATGCCCCCATCCTGTGCCTATAAAAACCCAAGACCCTAATAAGGCAGAGATAGAAGCAGCTGGACGTCATGAGGAACACATCAGTGGAAGACCACACAAGCGGCTAGTCATCAAGAGCTCACCAGTGGAAGAGCACGCCGATAGGCACTGGCACGCAGGCAGGTACCGGCATGCCAGCAGGCCATCGACTGGCAAAATGATGCCGAATTTGGCTGGAGTGGTCAGAGAAGAGCCAGGTCACTGAGCTGCCGGACTCCAGGGGAAAACCATCTCCCTTCTGGCTCCCCCATCCACTGAGAGCTATTTCTACTCAATAAAACCTTGCAGTCATTCTCCAGGCCCACATGTGATCTGATTCTTCTGGTACATCAAGGCAAGAAACCCCAGGATACAGAAAGCCCTCTGTCCTTGTGACAAGGTAGAGGGTCTAACTGAGCTGGTTAACACAAGCTGCCTGTAGATGGCAAACTAAAAGAGCACCTTGTAACACATGCCCACTGGAGCTTCAGGAGCTGTAAACATTCACCCCTAGACACTGCCATGGGATTGGAGCCCCACAGCTTGCCTGTCCAAATGCTCCCCTAGAGGTTTGAGCAGCAGGGCACTGAAGAAGTGAGCCACACCCCCATCGCATCCCCTGTGAGGGGAACAAGGGAACCTTCCCTATTTCAACTGGGGGCTTGTCCGGGATCCTGGAAGGTGAGTGTGAATGAATGCAAAGCTGTTGGGCCTGCCTCTCTTCCAAAACCCTGCCATCTCTCTCTCCGTGGGTAAGAGGCTGTGTTTTCCTTCAAAAACTCTGCCCTAACTGGCCAGTCAAAACCCCCAGACTTTGTCTCTTTTCTCTCTCTCACATGGTTTGAAATGGCTCTTGTGTCTTTATAGCGTTAAGAGTTTCACTACAGGCTACAGCAATGTCACTAAGTAAAGTAAGCATTTGACTCAGCTGTCAAAGGTGCAAATCAGACCAACTGTTCCTAGAAGTGCCATGTATGCCTCCATCTCTACAGCCACAGGCACTCATGGCTCAGTGCACCTCTCCTTATCCTTTCTTCTCCTAGCTCGGGCACTTAGGTTTGCCCACGGTAGACAAAGGCTGATCCCAACATCCACAAGTGGTTGCGGGAGAAAGCTGTGACAGTAGCCACAACCCCACAGGGCCAATGGACAGGGTGCTTCTCACCTGCCATGCCAATGGAACCTTTTCTCCCTTGTCCAAGGAATTCAACCTGGTCTGAACTAGGGGAAAGATATAAGGATTAGGGGGCCCACTTGCACTAAGCAAGGGATTCTTCCCCCAGAATCTCCCCCATTTTACCCCTTAAACTGTTTTTCTCTTTGTTTCCTTTTCTAAGTGAGAGGTCCCCCGCCACACACTGTTTCTGACAGAGAAGTTAATGGAGGAATGGACTCTGCTGGCTGAGAACTGCAAATTCAGCAGGGCATCTTTGGGACACTCTAAACAGATACAAACAGCCTCTAAAATACTTTTTCAGTCCCAAACTTGATTCCAAGCTTCAGGCTGAGGACTTAAAAAGAAAAACCAGGTCTGAGGGACCCAAAGCCAGGCAGCAGGCATAATGTAAATGGGTAGGACCAATTCCCACTGACTAAATCCCCCACCCCAGGCATAATGTAAATGGGCAGGACCAATTCCCGCTGACTAAATCTCCCACCCCATGGAAGGAGGCTATGCTTCATGGAATAAACAGACCCAGGGAAATCAGTGTGCCAACAGCAGGGAGAAAGTGAAGCATAGGTGAGGGTGGTTAATTCCTACTCTCCAGGTTTCCTTGCTTCAGGGGTACATACTGCAGTGGTACCTATGTCCAGCTCAGGGATAAAGGATGGGGAGTGGAGGGAGGATGCTCACTTTCTCCGTCACGCCTGGGTTTTCACTGAAAGAAGGAAGGAAATGAGGGACACCTCTATTCCCTGTCTTTCAGAAGGACAACCAGTTCTCTTCACCACTCCCAGCTTATACTCCTCTGGAGTGTGTCCTGAACCACTGCTTTGACCCTCCAAATCTGGAGGAAAAGTGCCTCATAGCGCTCTGCACAAAGGCTTGGCCTCAAGAAGGAACAATTCATTTTGATACAATCTGGCAATTGGAACTTTTCTGTAGATGTGAGGACAGATGGCCCCATATGTGCAGGCTTTGTATAACTTGCAAGTCAATCCAGACCTTTGCCGACAGTGCAGGATTGATCCAGCCCTCCTGTTTGCTGTCTCAGGGAAGGCTGCAAGGGGCAGGCCCAGGGAAGTAAAGATACGAGTCCCAGAGGCACCTCCAGGAGAGGATCCAGCTCCCTCCATCCCTGCTTCTCTGGGTTCACCCTGATCTCCCTATCCAGCTTCAGCCTCTCACTTGCTCCTGCCTAGAAATTCTCAACCTAAACAAGCCCCAGTCTCACTTTTGACCCTCCAACAGATGCCCAGTGAATTTGGGCCCAGTAAGGTCCAGGTCCCCTTCTCCCTACAGGATTTATAGCCAATTAAGGGGAATCTTGGCAAGTTTTCAGATAACCCTGATAGATATATAGAGGCTTTCCAGAATTTCACCCAAATATTTGAACTCTCCTGGAGAGACGTTATGTTACTTTTGAATTAGACCTTGACAGACACTGAGAAGCAGGCTGCCCTGCAAGCAGCAGAGAGATTTGTGGATGAGCTTTGTATCACATATAGCGTCAGGGAAGGGGGTGAATATTATCCAACTGGGAGAGAAGCAGTACAAGTGAATGACCGTAAATGGGATCCCAATGACGAGGTGGCAGACTGGAAGAAGAGGAGACACTTTCAGGTGTGCATAATGGAGGGCTTACGTAGGACTAGGACCAAGCCTCTCAATTATACTAACTTGTCCATGACTGACCAGGGATTGGATGAAAAGACCACCACCTTCCTGGAAAGGCTAAGAGAGTCCTTGGTAAAACACACCTCACCATCCCCTGATTCAGCTGAGGGATAGCTAATCCTAAAGGATAAACTTATTACTCAGGCAGCTCCTGATATCAGCAGAAAGTTGCATAAATGGACCCTTAGACCAGATAGTACATTAGAGGACCACCTGAAAGTGGTCACCTCGGTCTTTTATAATAAAAAAGGAGGCCCAGGAAAGAGTGAGGAGATACAGGTATTCCTGGGGTGCACTTGCTAACTGCTAAAAGATATGTCAAGAACAGTTACCTCTTCTAAAGTTTAACTGCTCCCATACAAGGTTGAATGTCTTTCACCAGGGTGGAACAGCTTCGGGTACAATGTTGTTGTTAGTATATTTATCTTCTTTTCTGTTTAATCTTTGGAACTAAATTCTTTCCTTGTATAATACATATATTGAACCCATGCATACTTAACCTTATAAAACTTGTTTTTTTCTCTCACGCCTAGAAGCCATCAAACTCCAAAAGGTCAGGCAACCAGAGCCTCCAACAGTGGCTCTGCTTTGCTAGGAACCCTTAGGTAGACCTCTGGGAGGAGTCTGACTGCCATTTTCCCCAAAACAACGCCCCCTGTCAGCAGGAAGCAGCTAAGACTGGTCATCATCCCTATTCTAATGGCAGTTAAATGCACTTCTTCAGAGAGGGGAAATGATATGGAAGTGCTGGGAAGGGAAGAGCCTGGTCCCTTTAAATGATACGGAAGGGAGAAGGGAAGTGCTGGGTAGAGGAGGGTGTGGTCCCTGGCTGGGGCTCCACCCACACGGACCTAGGTGAGGACAGGCATTATTGTTGCATTTCCCAAGACCACTGTGACCTGCCATGTTCCTGTCCTGTGCCTATAAAAACCCAAGACCCTAGCAAGGCAGAGATAGAAGAGGCTGGACGTCACGAGGAAGATATCGGTGGAATAAGACACAAGCAGCTGGTCGTGGAGCGCCCACCCTGCGGAAGAGCATGCCGACAGGCACGGGCAGGCCAGCAGGCCATGGAGCCATTGGCTGGTGGAGCAACACAGAGTTTGGCCAGAGTTGTCAGAGAAGAGTCGGGTCATTGAGCTGCTGGACTCCAGGGGAAAACCATCTCCCTTCTGGCTGCCCCATCTGCTGAGAGCTACTTCTACTCAATAAAACCTTGCACTCATTCTCTAAGCCCACGTGTGATCCAATTCTTCCAGTAAACTAAGGCAAGAAAGCCCGGGATACAGAAAGCCCTCTGTCTTTGTGACAAGGTAGAGGGTCTAATTGAGCTAACACAAGCTGCCTATAGATGGCAAATTAAGAGAGCACCCTGTAACACACGCCCACAGGGGCTTCAGGAACTGTAAACATTCACCCTTAGACACTGCTGTAGGGTGGGAGCCCCACAACCTGCCTGTCTGTGTGTTTCCGTAGAGGTTTGAGCAGCGGGGCACAGAAGAAGCGAGCCACGCCCCCAGCGCACGCCCTGCGAGGGGAACAAGGGAACCTTTCCTGTTTCACATGGAGCAACTTCTGTTCAACATTTTCTGTAACACATTTTTGTACCTTAAAGGGCAGAGGACCATTATGTGGTTATAGAATTACTTTCAGGGCCCCTGGCTAGACTTTTAAAAATGCATGATCACGAAGCAAAATTTCACTATGTTGAAAGTATTTAAATGTTATCAGCTGCTTTAAGGGCACAAATCCCAATGGAAAATTTCCAGGTATATAATAATTGTTTCCAGTAATAATTTTCCTCACAGGAAGGTCAAGGAGAAGCAGATATTTTAAACTATTTATAGAGTCCATTAAAGAGGATAATTAGTCGGAAAAAAACCCAGCAAATTTAGAGGTGTTTTCAAGATAGAATTACAGAAATTTCAAATATTTACAAGAGATACACGCTCCATAGCCCCATGATGTTGCAGAGTTATATGAAGCCCTTATTAATTTTTACCTTTTCTTCCCTTCTCCATACCTGAGAGCACCTACCTGGAGTTGAGATCAAGTTGGATTCAGAGCTTGAGACAGTAACTGGAAGAATTCATCTTGAGCCTCAGGAGTGAAAAGGCCCCTTGGGAAACCCTCACCCAGGAGATACACAGGAGCACTGGCTTTGGCAGCAGCTCACAATGAGAAAGATGCCTGTCACAGCCTTTGCCTTCCTCTTCTATGGAATAAAGTCCCACTGCATTCTTAGAAAATAGTGTAAAAGACATTTCCTGAGTGTGCATACTACTATGCTAGGCAATAGGAAGTTGTAAATAATTAGCACATTTGCAGCTTCCAAGAAATTTCCCACTTTGTTGGTTCAAGAACAGCCAGGGCCAGATCCACTTAAATAAAACCAGAGAAGGTCTTCCCAGAGCCAGGTAATGGAGGTGACTCATTGCATCAGCAGCAGTGAGTCCTGCTGGTGCTCTCTCCCTCAGCAGGTGAGTCCTAGGGATGGTTTGTATTCTCAGCTGGTGATGGAGGTGAGCATTAGCAGGGGTGAGTCCTGGGGATTGTTGGTGTTTTCAGCAGGTGAAGGAGGTGAGCCTCAGCAGGGGTGAGTCCTGGTGATGGTTTGTGTTCTCAGCAGGTGATGGAGGTGAGCCTCAGTGGGAGTGAGTCCTGGGGATGGTTTGTGTCCTTAGCAGGTGAGGGAGGTGAGGCTCCGTGGGGGTGAGTCCTGAGGATGGCTTGTGTCCTCAGCAGGTGTTGGAGGTGAGCATCTGCAGGGCTGAGTCCTGCTGACTCGCCCTTTGTTTGTGCCCTTGAAAGGCTGTGGTGGTAATGGCACTTCACCCCTATGGCCCTCCTACGTAGAACACAGCATCCCTGTCTAATCACAAGGGAAAAGGCAGACAAATCCCAGTTGAGGGAGATCTGAGCAATACCTGAGCAGTGTTCCTGTCAACTCTGAAAGTCTCAGAAACAAAGGAAGTCTGAGAAACTGTCACAGCCAAGAGGAGCCTGAGGAGATGTGGCAACTAAATGTAATGTGGTGTTTGGACGGGATCCTGATGCGGAAAATGAAAATTAGGCAAACCATACGGAAATCTGAATAAAATATGAACTTCAGTTGCTGATAACGTGTCAGTATTCATTCCTGAATTGTACCAAATGAACGCTATAACTGTGCAGGAGAAACAGGCTGTGAGCTGAAGAGAACTCCCTATGTCATCTTTGAATTTTTCTGTAAATCTAAAACTATTCTAAAATAAACAATGTATTTTAAATAATGAAATAAAAACAGTTAAATTTGTCCAAAAAGTGCAAAGCAGCATCAATGATAACAGCTAATATTCACTGAGAAGGTGTGCTGTACCTGGCAGTGTTCTAAGTATTTTATGGAGATTAACTTGTTTGATCCCCGTTAACAACGTTGTGAGGTAGACGCTATCACCATCCTTGTTTTGCAGCCCGGGAAACTGAGGCACAGAGCTACAGAGGTTCTCACCTGGTGTCTCAGAGGTCCTGGGGGTGGAAGCAGGCTTAGAACCCAGGCAGGCGGGCTCTTGGCCACCACACTGTCCTGGTAATCAGGTGCTGAAGGAGCTGCTGGACAAGAAGCAGTCAGAGGATGGAGCCATCCTGGGGCCTGGGGGTTAAACCCAGGTCCAGTGCTTCCAGTCTTGGCTGAGTCATTGCTACCAGCCACACGTGTGGTGAGAAACAATAAAACTGAACAAAATCTATGCGCCCCTGGACAGCAGGCAGTGCAGGACCATGGCCCTGAAGAGCAGGGAAAATGAGTTAAGCCACACTTTCACCCTGGCCATCTCCCTGGAGGTACTTTCTGGGTCACTCAGGGAGATGAGCACAAACACAGCTCAGCGCTCCTGCTGCACTGAAGAGGTGACGGGAGCACTGCTCAACGCCTGGGACACCGGGGCAGGCACCGGAGATGAGGAACGGGAGGGCCCCGGGGTCTGCGGACTTCAGCCGTGTGTCCTCAGCTCATGGCTGTGCTGTGCTTTGCACAGGTGAGATTCCATGAGGCTCCTGAGGGCAAGCGGCCACTGTGGAGCTGAGGGGTTGAAGGGGCCACTCTAGATCCCCAGGACACAGGGCACCCGCTGGCTGGAGAGACTGCAGGGAGGATGTGGGACATTCAGATGAGGTCCCAGGAACAAGGACTACACCCCTGAGAATGGTCCACAGGCCTGAATAAGCACAAAACTCCGGTAAAGAATAAAGCAAACAACATACAACTCCAGTAAAGAACAAAACACACAACTCCAGTAAAGAATAAAGTAAAGCCTGACAAACTTATGAGCTTGCCAGAAACTTGTCTGTCAGAGTGAAGTTTTAATGCCCATTAAAGAAAGACAACATAATCCCAAATCCTTGCAATGCATTGCCTATTACATCCAGCATGATGTTGTACACACACACTCCCTACAAGTTGAGGGAGAATTCAAGAACTGAAGAGTACCTGAAATTTCAAAAGTGCTGAATGACTTAATAACACATTGGAAACAATAGAAGGAGGTACAGTAAACTTAAAGACAGTCAATACAAATGATCTCATCTGAGGAACAAAAAGGGAAGAGTTTTTAAAAATAGACAGAGGCTCATCGGTATTGGAGACCTACCATGCACTGTAACATGAATGTAATAAATTCACAAAAGACAGGCTGGAATAAAAAAGCATTTGAAATAATAGTGGTTGAAATTGCCCCAAATTTATTTAAATAGCATTAACTTTTTTTATGTTTGCAAAGCTCTTCAAACATCAAGCCAGGTAAATACAAGAAAATCACATCTAGACACATAAATAGTCAAATTCTGAAAATATACCATAAAGATGAAATATTCAAAGCAGTCAGAGAAAAACATCTTTCCTACAAGCGAACAGTGTCCCTGAATTAATCCGTTCTCGTGCTACTAATAAAGGCATACCAGAGACTGGGTAATTTATAAAGAAAAAGAGGTTTAATGGACTCACAGTTCCACATGGCTGGGGAGGCCTCACAATCATGGTAGAAGGCAAAGGAGGAGCAAAGGCACGTCTTACATGGCAGCAGGCAAGAGAGTGTGTGCAGGGGAATGGTCCTTTATAAAACCATCAGCTCTCCGGAGACTTATTCACTATCATGAGAACGGCATGGGAAAAATCTGCCCCCATGATTCAATTACTTTCCACCAGGTCCCTCCCATGACACTTGGGGATTATGGGAGCTACAATTCAAGATGAGATTTGGGTGGGGACACAGCTGAACCATATCAGTCCCAAACAAGAAATGACGTCTCATCAACATCAGTGGAGTCTTGTAAACAGTACAATGCTGTCTTTAAAGTGCCAAAAAGAAAAATAAACTAGTTCAACCATTGTGGAAGTCAGTGTGGCGATTCCTCAGGGATCTAGAACTAGAAATACCATTTGACCCAGCCATCCCATTACTGGGTATATACCCAAAGGATTATAAATCATGCTGCTATAAAGACACATGCATACATATGTTTATTGCAGCACTATTCACAATAGCAAAGACTTGGAACCAACCCAAATGTCCATCAATGATAGACTGGATTAAGAAAATGTGGCACATATACACCATGGAGTACTATGCAACTGTAAAAAATGATGAGTTCATGTCCTTTGTAGGGACATGGATGAAGCTGGAAACCATCATTCTCAGCAAACTATCACAAGGATAGAACACCAAACACCGCATTTTCTCACTCATAGGTGGGAATTGAACAATGAGAACACATGGACACAGGAAGGGGAACATCACACACTGGGGCCTGTTGTGGGGTGGGGGGAGGGGGGAGGGATAACATTAGGAGATATACCTAATGTAAATGACGCGTTAATGGGTACAACACAAAAACATGGCACATGTCTACATATGTAACAAACCTGCACATTGTGCCCATGTACCCTAGAACTTAAAGTATAATAAAAAAATAAAACTGCCAACCTAAAATCAAATTCATATATATATATATATATAACATGACCCATTTGGATTAATCCTAGCAACGTAAGTTTAATATTTCAAAATCTATCAACAGAATTCAGAACATTACAGAATAAAGGAGAAAACCATTTGATCATCTCCATAGATGTGGAGGAAAAGCATTTGGTAAAACTAAAAGTTTGTTCATATCCTCCACTCGTGCAAACCAGGCATATGAGGGTGCTTCTGCTGCCAGCACCCTTGATGAATATACTGGATGCTTTCTCCCTGAGATCAGGGAAGGTAAATGTGTCCAGCATCACCGTTTCTATTCAACATTGTCTTGGTGATCCTAGTCAGTGCTCTAACGCAGAAAAAATACCTAAAAGACATAAAGTTTGGGAAGGAAGAACCAAACTGTGTACATAAGGAATCCTGGAGAATTTACAGAAAGCTGCTGGTTTGATACATGGATTCAGCACATTCACGGGAAACTCACCAGAAAGCTAATACACAAAACTCACTTGGGGCCTGGCGCGGTGGCTCACGCCTGTCATCCCAGCACTTTGGGAGGCCGAGGTGGGCGGATCACGAGGTCAGGAGATCGAGACCATCCTGGCTAACACGGGGAAACCCCGTCTCTACTAAAAATACAAAAAAAATTAGCTGGGCGTGGTGGCGGGCACCTGTAGTCCCGGCTACTCGGGAGGCTGAGGCAGGAGAACAGTGTGAACCCGGGAGGCGGAGCTTGCAGTGAGCTGAGCTCGCACCACTGCACTCCAGCCTGGGCGACAGAGCGAGATTCCGTCTCAAAACAAACAAAAACTTATTTGCATTTTTATTTTCTAGCAAGTGATAAGAGGAGCATTAAATTTAAAATGTACAATTCGCAGTAACAACTAAAGCATTACATATCTAGGAATCTATGTAAGAAAAGATATGCAAAATCACTACACTGAAAAATACAAAGCGTTGTTGACAAAAATTGCCCAAGACCTATGTGAGTGATGAAACATGTCATGTTTGCTTCGGAAGACTCAATACTGTAGGATGTCAAACCTCCCCAAATTGATCTGCAGGTTCAATACAATCCCCGATCAAATTTTCAACTGGTTTCTTAAAGATACTGAGAAGCAGATTCTCAAATTTATTTGGAAATGCAAAAGAATAGGCAAAACGAATACTTTCTTACACAAGTAGAAAATAGTACTTTTCTCAGGGGCAGGGAGATGGCTATAGACTAGGAAGTGCATGAGGAAAACTTCTGAAGCCCAGCAAATTTTCACATCCGAGCTGGGTGGTGGTTAAATATAGGCATAGATGTAAATAAGTATCCATCAAACTGTACAATTACAATTAATGCACCTTAAACAATTTAAACATAACTCAAGACAAAAACTAACAATGGAAGAATCAATTAAAATGTGACAATGTGATCTTAAAACGTTTAGCACTGATCCACAATGAATATACTACATGAAAAACCTCTGATATAATGCTAAAGAAATACTTAAAGGAATATTTATAATCCTAAATAATTACATTAGAAAAAATAATTAATGGGCTCATATTCTTATTCCAGAAATTAGGACAAGAGCGACCTAACAAACTAGGGAAACAAGAAGGGAAGAAATTGTGATCAGAAATCATTGAAATAAAAAAGAAAACAATAACACAAAAGATTAAAACGGAAAAATCTATTCATTGGAATAGGCTCATGATATAAACAAACCCCTAGCAAATATTATTAGAAACATATAGAGAAGTGATATGCAGAAGAGAGAAGGGAAAAGTCCTTACAAAAATATTAGAATTGGAAAGGTCGAGGGAAGAGTAAACACAGCTGAGATTGGAATCACAAGCAAATATAAATGAATCTTAAGCAAGTTACTGTGGTAATGGAGGTCGAAAGAGAAATTCCTGGGAAAGGAAATTACCAACACAGTTTGTGAAAGGTGCACTAGAAAGTGGAATCTATCAGAAGCACAGCAAACATGACAGATTGGTCAAACTTTAGAAACATCCCTGTTAAAGTCATATCTCCGACATGTCTCAGACAAGGACAGAAACAAGAGTTATAAGAAATGGAAAGAAAAAAATGTAACTCACATTATTCCCTGAGTACTTACAAGATAGTTCACTAAAGTTGCTGAATAAAATACGAAAGCTGAAAAATGATAATATATGTCATCAATATCAATCAGAAAATCTGAAGAGCTAACAGGACAAAAATCCCAGCCACAATCACTTCAGGAATTATTATTTAAATTTATTTTGTACTGCCAAGGATGATTTTTAATTATTTATTGTTTGATAAGTGCCGACGAAGTTTGTGGGTTGGTATAAAAGTGTGTTTTAGTTGGTTTATTATACATGGGCTTCCTCAGTAACTTACCCTCCAAAAGCTAAAATAATCTTTCCAGAGATCAAATTACACAGACATAGGGTCTTTAAAACAAAACATTTTTATTATACTTTAAGTTCTGGGATACATGTGCAGAACGTGCAGGTTTGTTACATAGGTATACACGTGCCAAAGTTGTTTGCTGCACCCACCAACCCATCATCTACATTAGGTATTTCTCCTAATGCTGTCCCTCCCCTAGCCTCCCACCAGCCAACAGGCCACAGTGTGTGATGTTCCTCTCCCTGTGTCCGCGTGTTCTCATTGTTCAGCTCCCACTTATGAGTGAGAACATGCGGTGTTTGGTTTTCTGTTCCTGTGTTAGTTTGCTAGGAATGATGGTTTCCAGCTTCATCCATATCCCTGCAAAGGACATGAACTCATCCTTTTTATGGCTGCATAGTATTCCATAGTGTATATGTGCCACATTTTCTTTATCCAGTCTATCATTGATGGGCATTTGGGTTGGTTCCAAGTCTTTGCTATTGTTAACAATGCTGCAATAAACATACGTCTGCATGTGTCTTTATAGTAGAATGATTTATAATCCTTTGGGTATATACCCAGTAATGGGATTGCTGGGTCAAATGTTATTTCTAGTTCTAGATCCTTGAGGAATTGCCACACTGTCTTCCACAATGGTTGAACTAATTTACACTCCCACCGACAGTGTAGAAGCGTTCCTATTTCTCCACATCCTCTCCAGCATCTGTTGTTTCCTGACTTTTTAATGATCACCATTCTAACTGGCATGAGATGGTATCTCACTGTGGTTTTGATTTGCATAGAGTCTCACTCCAATGCCCAGGCTAGAGTGTAGTGAAGCAATCTCAGCTCACTGCAGCTTCAACCTCCGGGGCTCAGGTGATTCTCCCACCTCAATTTCCTGAGCAGCTGGGGCTAAAGGTGCATGCCACCAAGCCTGGCTAATATATATTTTGTATATACATATATTTGTAGATATGAGGCTTCACTATGTTTCCCAGCTGGTCTCAAACTCCTGGGCTCAAGTCCTACCTCAGCCTTTCAAGGTGCTGGGATTACAGGCCTGACCCCAGCCCAGAAATTACAGTATGGGAAATATATAACCTCACTGGAGGAAAACTGCACAAGCCACAGAGTGGATGAAGTTATTTGTAATAAATAAAACTGACAAGTACTCAGAATATTTTTAAAAAATACTTCCTTAAAGAGATGAGGAAAGGAAAAATAAAGAACAACAGAAAAATGGCAAAAAAATTAAAAAGGAATTGAAAGAGAACAAAATCCAAACAGCCAATGTATATGTGAAGATCTTTGAGCGAATGCAAATTAAATGAGGCACGGTCCACGTTGAGTCCATTGGCCAGCTACCCTCTAACAGTGGGTGTGGTGCAGGGCTTGGTGGATGATCTCCATTTCCACATTCACATGCTTGAGATTCATTGACACTTGCTTGTGATTTCAGTCTCAGTCGTGCAGGGCACAGAGCTCTTAGAGAGTCCAGTTATAGTGCACATTGTTACAACTTTGAAATCACTCGGGCAATATCTGGTAAAATTAAAGCTGGATATTATCCACAGCTTAGAAGTCCCACCTCCAGGGATATATCTTAGAGAAATCTTGTACCCCGAACCAGGAGATTAGTACAAGAATGTGCATAATGATGAGGTTTTCATGGAATTGATAAACTCTAGTTTTGAAATAATACAGTTTTGAAATAAAATGAATGAACTGGATCTACATGTATCTACCTGGAAAAATTTCAAGTGTTAAATTTTTAAAAGCAAGTTATAAAATGTTTCATGCCATGTAATCCGATATATGTAATATTTAAATACACAGAAGAGTTCATAGTTTTTGAACACATACATATGTAGTAAAAGCCAAAAATATACATGGATGAAGCCACACCAACTTGAGTGGAGAAGTTGTGTCAGGGGGACAGGAAATGGAGACAGAGAGGTTTATCTGTAGTTACCTGTATTCATGGTGCTTTATTTTGAAAAAAAAAAAAAAAAAAAAAAAAAGCCTGCATCAACGTAGTAAATATTAGCTTTTGTCTGGCCTCAGTAGAAG
The DNA here is from genome assembly GCF_000001405.40 of Homo sapiens. Lineage (NCBI taxonomy): Eukaryota > Metazoa > Chordata > Mammalia > Primates > Hominidae > Homo > Homo sapiens. Next base: position 933,786 of record NC_000006.12, read on the forward strand.
GTGGTAGTTGTTATTGTATTACTCTGCTTTTCTGTATGTTTGAAATGTTTCTCAATTCAAGATAAGGAAAATATGTAACGCAGTAACTAAGTATTATTATTGTTATTAATTAAAGATGTGAAAGATTCTCAGAAGCAAAATCTTAGGGACTCTTATTTAATCACTGAAGACCCATTTCTCCGCAGTCTAAACAGTGCACTGGGCATTGGACTCACAAAATGAAGACGCCATTGCCCCTGTCCTTGACGCCTGAACAGGATAGAAAGGGGACCCACAGTTGGCAGCCATCATGGGCATGGCATATGGGTCCGATCCCAAAGAGCTTTGTACAGGAGTTGCAAGGAAGGTTTCACCAAGGAAAAGATCAAGAACCAAATGCTGTGGGACGCATAAGTGCCAGCCCAAGGGACCAGGCAGGCCTGGGGGAAGGATGGGGGAGCAGAGCCTCCTGCAGACAAGTGGATGTCTGAGCTATTCAATGGACGTTGCTGCAGCCCCGTCTGTGTGCTGGGGGCTTTGCTAGGAAGGTGGGGAACAGAACAGCTGGGGTCCCTAACTTCACAGGATTCATCGTCCACGTTAAAGGTTCAGCATGTGCAATGTTCTCCACAACTTGTAAGGCTGTCGCACAGGCAAAGTGTAGGAAATAGAGGCTCAACTCTGTCTCCTGTGCTTCTGCATTGGGGGATTGGTAGTGCAAGGTTTGGGGGATGCTGGTAAACACAGAACACCTGTGTGACTTGTCATCAAAGCCCTGCATGCAGCAGTAACACAAGAGAGAAGTTGTGAGGTGGGGAGAGCTGGTTTACTACCCTACAAGGTAGCTGTGTGCAAATTAGGAAAATGAGTCCTGTCTGTCCAGATTTAGAAAAGCATCCCTTTGCCAGGGCACACAGAGTACAGTGTAGAATGGATTTCAGCCTGCTGTCTTTGTTCAGTGTAAGAACTGTGCAACTGTACATGATTATCCTGAGCAGAAGCTCCTTGAACCCGGCTCAGGCTAAATGGATGAATGGCACATGCCTCTTTGTTGTGGGTGTGTGCGCAGTGGCTGCATGGAGGCTGGAGAGACTGCCCACAAGGCTCTGGATACTCTCCAGCCTTGTCCTCATGCGGTCCCCAGCCCTGCCCTTCAGGGGACACTGGCAGGGCTTCTGCTCCATCCTCCTGGAGAGGCAGGTCACCTGGTGTCTGTCAGTCCACTGCCAAAGCCCTGCAGGAATCTGCCAGAGCAAAGGGGAGAGTGTAAGTTTTATCTGGAGTCACAAAAAGATATGATGGTGAAGAGGAGTTTGACCTCTACAGGAAGCATGAGGAGAAAGCATGAAAGAGGCCTGAAAGGATGAGAACTTGGAGAGAGGTTTCCAGGGGAGCCAGAGAAAGGTTTCTGTAAGCAAGGATGCTGGCTGTGAGCAGAATTCCACCCCACAGATGCTGCGTGTGGCTGAAATTTGGAGGATGACCTGTGGAAGAGCTAAGCAGGAAGGAGGGAGGACAGGGTCGCTAGAATCAGGCGGCCAGACTGAGCTTTGGAGAGCGCGTGAGCAACGGGATGTGGGAGAGGCTGTGTCTAGGAGATTGGCTCGTGCATTCATCCACTCACAGTAATTGTTTACCCGCCGGGCACTGCTGGGCTGCAGACTCCACTCTCCAGGGACTTGTGTCCGAATCCAGAGACAAGAAAAGAGGCCATGAAACATGCCACAGTGATTGGCACACAGAACCCCATGAGCTGGGGCACAACTGGCTGGTAATCACTGTGCACATGACCCCAGGGTGGGAGGCTAAGGTACGTGTTGGGAGAGGAGGGCATGAGAAAGAGCGTTCCATCCTGGCCAGAGCCACACCTGCAATCTTCTCCAAATCTGCACCAGGGTTAGGGAGGAAACTCGTTCCCCAGGCTCTGATATCAGAGCTGGAGGCTGAGGCAATGGACACTGTGTACACACCCCAGCAGCCCCAGGGCAGCCCCTGGCTTCCCCACGCCTTCTGTGTGACCCCAGTCCGTGTGGTTCAGTTGTGTGGCCCCAGAGCTGTTCTATTTAACCTGAACCAGGGGACTGATACTTCCAGCCCAAATTCCAGGTCTTGGGAGTTCTCCTCGGAAGAGGAGATCTGTTTCCAATGTCTCTGATGGCCAGTCCAGAGTTGTGTTCGTCTGTCTACACCTTCCTGTCGGCCGTTCTCTCCTCTGCTGCCCCAAGGGCCCTTCTGCTACCCATGCACCCCATGCCGTCCAGTCTGCCACAGAGATTCACGCTCACAATTCGTAAATTGTCTCCTCGCTTCTCCAAAACTCCGATCCATTCTAGGCAGCCATGATGAATTCACATAGAGATAGGAATTGCCCAGTATTACATTAGATCCTTGTTAGCCAATTAAATATGTTTATAGTATTACCATGTTATGTGTTTTATTAATAGGCTTGATTTTTTTTTAGAGCAGGTTTGGGTTCACAGCAAAATTGAGAGGAAGGAAAAGAGAATTCCCAGCCCCTCCCGGCCCCCGCACAGGCACAACTTCCCCCATTATCAACTCCCCACCAGAGGGGGACATCTGATATGATCAAGGATCCTGCACTGGCCCATCATCATCACCTGGAGTCCACGGTTCACCTTAGGGTCACTCCTGGTGCTGGACATTCCGTGGGTTTGGCCAAATGTGTAATGACCTGTATCCCCTGTTATGGTAATATGTGGAATCACCTCACTGCCCTAGAAACCCCCTGTGCTCTGCCGACTCATGCCTTCCTCCCCACTACCTCCTGTTAGGGAGACCAGGTGGTCGACCTGGTCGACCAGGTCTACCTCCTGGCACCACTGATCCTTTTGATTTTCTTCATAATTGTGTCTTTTCTAGAGGCGATTAAATTTTAATACTAAACTTCAAGGAGTAATAAAACCAAGAAGTGGCACATGGGAAGGGAGCGACGACAGACTTCTTAGGTCTGGGGAAGAGATAGGAATCACCATATGGGCAGGTGAGTCCCCAGCGCTGCCTCTTGCTTTTCCTAGCTTGCTGTTTTCTTCTGCTCCTGGAATATATTCTGCAGAATATATTCTGCTCCTTTCACATATTGCTGTGAGGCTCCAGGGCGTTTTCCTCTTGGGCTCTTGCACAACAGGTGCGTGGTCTGTGTGGCCAGGTGGGCAGGTGAAAGTTTCAAGCCCGGTGTCACCTGCATTGAAAGCGAGTTTAAGAGCTTTTAAGGTCAACTGAGATTCCAAACTAGTTCTTCAAATTCATAAACCTCTGCTGATATAGCTTAACCTCCTCCTTACTTAGCACGAGTTTATCCAAAATTCTCTTTGTTGGTTGAAAAGATAGTTGACTTTCTTAAATCTACTTTGGAAAACATACCAGGTGGAGGCCCTTGGGTAAAAAAGCCCAAAGACCCAGGTCTCTAATCCAAGTTCCACTACTGCCCGGGCAGGAAATGCAGATTCACTGATCAGTTTCCTCACCTGTGAAACAAGAGAGCAAATCTCCAGCCCTCCAGACAATTAATTACAGAAGTCACAATTCTTCTTTCCTCCTCCCCTTCCCCACCCCATCCCCTCCCCCTACCCCCTCCCCCTCCATCCTCCTCCTCCTCCTTGTCTTCCTCCTCTCCTTCTCCTTTTCCTCCTCCTCCTCCTTCTCCTTCTTCTTCTTCTTCTTTTCATGCAACAAATAGCAGGAGCCATTCACTGAGAGCTCTCCAGGGAGCTCTCCAAGGAGTTCTTCTTCTCCTTCTCCTCCTTCTCCTCCTCCTCCTTCTCCTCCTCCTCCTTCTCTTCCTTCTCCTCCTTCTCACCCTCCTTCTCCCCCTCCTTCTCTTGTACCTTCTCCCCCTTTCCCTTCCCCTTCTTCTATCTTCTTTCTTTCTTTCTTTCTCTTTCTCTTCTTCTTCTCCTTCTTCTTCTTCTTCCTCTTCTCATGCAACAAATAACAGGAGCCATTCACTGGACTGGATTGGTGATTAAAAATCTGAAAAAACCAAAAGCCCTGGTCTGGAGGTTGGAGCCTCTTTCTAGTGGGAAAAGGCCCCTTCAGGGTACATCACCCTTGGATTTTTAAAAATACCTTTTCCTTTACCTGATCCTGTGCTCAGATCCTATCAAGTTAATAAGCAACTGTGACATTTTTGTCAATATGGATCCATGTATAAAATATAATGTGTTTAGACTAGGATGACATTAAAATTCAGCGCTTAAACTTGGGAGACATTGGAAGAAATGACATTTTAGAGAAGTAGCAGGAGATAAATCTCTCGTTACAGTCAGCTCTGCAGGAGTCAAATGCTGCTGTGTAGAAGAATAAGGATGTTCAAAACCATTTTGTCTCCCAAGTAGAAGGATATTTGAAAGTATTTTTGTGTCTTTCTAAACCCATTTTTGTACAAGTAGTATTCATTCTGCATCTGTACAGGTGGAAGGCTCAAAAGCTTAGTCCAAGGCTACCTAGTCCAAACCCACATTCTGTAGATAAGGGAACTGAGATGGGGAGAGGCTGGTGCCTTTCCTGGGGTCATAGAGCTAGGATGACCGTGGTCTGGAGCCGGAATTCAGGTCTCTTCGGCCTCCGGCAGGCACTCTTCCTGCTACTCCTATTCCCCTTAATGCAGCCCTGACTCACCGTGGCCTTTCACATGCAAACCCATCCAGAGCCCATGCCCCAACCTCCTCCTCCACTGGGGTCTCACACTCAGGCCGCTAACTCCCTGCCCTAATCCCCCAGGGCCAGGTAACAGATAACTAGGGACAGGTCTCACATCCCCGAACCTGCTGAAACTATCCAAACGAGACAATCCTAACCCTGCGTGCCCTCCCTTGCCTGTTCCACAGAAACCGCAGTAAAGGCCCTTGCACAGCTCCTCAGTCCCCCACCTCCTGACCCAACCGTTCTTCCCCACGCGGCCCCCTTGGCATGGCGTGCCCCCTCCTCCTGGGATCTGTAACACACTATCTTTCTATGGTCTTTTCATGAACTTTGGCCTTACCGAACCTCACATTTTCTACCAATGCATTGTATCTTCAGCCACAGAGAGGCCAATGCCCAGCCGGCAAATCAGGTGCTCCTACCCCTGTGTGGTTCATGAGGCCAGCCAAGCCCACACACAGGGGCACTGAAGGGATCCCAGATGGCTTCTCTCTGGCCATTCGACAGGGGCCTGATCAGCCGCACTTCTGATCATCCAGCCAGAACCACCTGCTTTGAAGGAGGGCATTTAACTTCTGCTGGGGAAAAAAAAATCACTTCAAAATCTCTAGTCGGCCTTTTCCACCTTTAATCTCCTGGGCTTTTCATTTAAATTCCTATTAGTGGGATCTGGGTGGGGGCTGAAATCCTGAACCTGAGTCATGCGTCCCCACCCCAGACTCAGGCGCCTGACCTGAATAATAGCTTTCCTTCTAAGTGCCTTGGAAAAGGTGGCTGCCAAGCTCCAAGCACAGGGAGGTGGTGGGGGCAGAGCTGACGTGGGTTCAAATGACAGTGGAGTTGCTTCTTTTTCTTCTTGGCAAGGGGCATGGGGAGGGTGACGAGGAGGCGGGGGTCCCATGGTAAGTGCAAATGAAAGAAAGTTCACGGAGAGCATGGGCAATGGGCCAGACAAAACTCGCTTCCAGTTCTCTTTCTCTTATTAGCTGTGTGATCTTGGAAAAATCATGGAACGTCCCTAAGCCTCTTGTTCATTTGTAAGATGGAGAAGGGAATAAGAAGTGACATTTCCTGAGGAATTCTGATGTGCCCTTGTTTTCAGTGCTTTCTGTTATTCACTAAGTGAGTTCTCTAAATGGCCTTAGGATGCAGGGGCCGTTGTATAGACAAGAAAAGGAGGTGAAATGCTTGGGAGGCATATCTGGGCAGCCTGTGTCCAGGGCCCACATAACCCTGGCAGCTGTACTTTGCACAGTGCCAGCCCATGGTCAGTGCACACCCAGTGCTGCTGCAGACAGCGCCAGGAAGTGGGCGCTGTTCTTACGTGTGAGCCACAGCTGTCCTGCTTCCTTGGAATAGAGCTGTTCTCACTGCTGTGCTGTGGTCACGCTCAATGCCCAATTCTTCCTCCTCTTGATTTCTTTCCAGCCTTCCTCCCCAGCCCCAGGAAGGGACCAAAGCCAGCTTGGGCTATGGCTCCTGCAGTGGACTCGTTGAGTGAGCATTGGGGATTTGCTGCAGGTGTGTGGGGGAAGCTCCCCTCTCAGGCCTGGCTGGGAGCAGTGCAGGGGTCCCCATCCCCGGCTTCGTGACCTTCAGTCCTCCCTCACCCTCTGCCACCCTAGGAGAGGTTTGGAAACCCACAAGTGTCAGTTTTGGCCATCACCTGCCCCGAGACTGTGCTGCTGATGCTCCCACACTCAGGTCCCATTGAGATATCATCTCACAGGGGTTCTCAAACTCTTTCAACCTCTGTTCAATCATGACTTCAACGTGCCGCACGATATACATGCTTTATTACAAATGAATCCCATGAAAAGGGATGGGCCAGGAGCGGCTGAATCTCTGGGGAAAGAAGAGGAGGAGAAAGATGTGCAGTCAGGCCCCTGTCCCCGCCCCACCCCTGCTGGGGGGAAAGCAGCTAGCACTCAAGGGCCGCCAGGTCCGTCAGCCCAGCAGGCCTTAGCAGTGTCTTTTGGGCAGAGGCCTGGTTGATGCTGGCCCAGAAACACAGGGCCGCATCGCAAACGGAGCGGGGCAGCCCAATTGGACATAGCAGAAATGAAGGCAGAGGTGGAAAACAGAAGTCCTGTGAACTGGAGCGTAAACTCATTCCTCCAAAGTGATGAGTAGCTGTGGGGATGCAGTGACAAGGCGGTACAGCTATGATTTTGTGCAGGTTGGACTGAGTGGAGGTGGTTTTGGGGCTGAGAGGATGGGAAGAGGAGCTCAGACTTGCCATTTCAGGGCCCACCTTACGCATCTGCACAGATAGAATCCAAACCCATGGACCCAGGGGCTCTTGCATCCATGGTGATGCTGAATTCACAATGGAAAGTGCAGCTGGGTACACCCGGGGCCCTCTGGACAAGGTGGTTACACTAGTAGTGGCCTGGACAGGAAGACGAGAGCCAGGCCCAGCTGCTCTACCTCCCAGGACTGCTTCTCGTGAGGAAAACAGGGCCACACTCACCACTGGTTGGCGTGGTTTAGTCAGTAGGTGGTAAAGACTTAGAAGGTAGGAAATTCTTGTGGAGAGTTGTGGGAGGAAATGGAATTTTGGGGAGTTGAACTGGAGTTTAATTGAGTAAGCATTTGTTTAAAGGTTGCTTCTGGAAGATTCTTCTATAATGCAAGGAACCATTCCCCAACTCAAGTAGGGGCTTACTCCTAAAGACATAGCCCACTATCATCAGATGGATTTTTATGGACTTTTTATGAGATTCCAGGTCTCACAGTCAATAAGCTACTTATGAAACTACTCATGGAATAAAAATGTGGAAAAGTGTGGAAAAAATTCTTGTTGCTCCTTTTTTTATGAACTCACAAAGTTTCATCAATTGAGTGAGTGAGAGACAGCACCTGGATGCCTCAGATTTTCCTGGGTGGAACGGCCATGTGTGTTGAGGGAAGACATCTCACCTGGTAAAGGATGCAGCTGTAAGTCAGTGGCAGACACAGGGTTGGAGTCAGTGTCTTGGGTTTGATTCCCAACTTCACCCTAAAGAGCAAGCTTAAACTGGACAAATTGTCTAACCCTGTGACCCTCAGTTTCTTCATCTGTAAAATGGGAATATTATTTATTTCCCAAGTTATCTTGATGATTTTAATCAATGGTTGGCAGGAGGATGTTTGATTAATATTGGTTTTTCCCTTTTTTCTTGCTAAACATATTTTAGAGGACATACCAGAAAGGGGCATTTGGACCATGTAAACTCACCCCTGCTTCTCTTCTGTGCATTAATTATATCTGCACTGGGGAAGGAGGTGGCCAGCCAGGAGGGGCTGCTCTCTCTCCTGGGACTTTGGAATATTTTTATTGTCTTGTCCTATGCCTCTTGCAGACCAGATTAATGATCATGCTACCTATAAATGCCTCCAAAGTACACAAACTAGAGTGAAGGAAAAAAACCAGCTAGGGAAGGATCAGAGCTTCTTGTGGTTCTCACTTTCTCTTTGTGAGATGAACCTTGGGCTTGTCCCTTCACCGCCTTGGGTCTCAATGCCCTCATGTGAAAGACCCTGAGGTACCTGCCATCCTTAACTTCCTGTGATCCGTTATCACACTTAGTCTCCCTTGCAGGCACTGCTCTAAGTACATTAGTTCTTTAACTCACTTGATCCTAATAACAACTTGTCTTATTCCATTGGTGTTGCTATAAAGGAATACCTGGGGCTGGGGAACTTGAGGTTTATTTGGCTCATGGTTCTGCAGGTTGTACAAGAGGCATGGTGCCAGCATCTGCTTCTGGTGAGGGCTTCAGGCTGCTTCTACTCATGGTGGAGGGAAAGGGGAGCTGGAGAAGAGAGATCCAATGATGAACGTGGAAGCAAGGCTGGGAGGTGCTAGGCTCTTTTTAACATTCAGTTATTGTGGGAACTACTAAGGTGAGAACTCATGCATTACTGCAAGGATAGCACTAAGCCATTCATGAGGAATCCGGTTCCATGACCCAAACACCTGCCACTAAGCCCCACCTCCAACACTGGGGATCAGATTTCAACATGAGGTTTGAAGGGGACAAATACCCAAACCATATCACAACCCTAAGTGATATGCACCATTATTTTCCCAGTTTCACAGATGAGGAGACTGAGGCACAGAGGGTTAAGTAATCTGCTCAGGGTCACAGAGCAAGTGAGTGGAGAGTGGGATCTGGAGTTCATGCTCACTTTGCTTCTCCACATTAATCACCTAACCAAACCTAAAACAAAAGTCAGAATGGGCTGACTTCATAGATCTCAGGCTCCTTGCCCTAAGAAGGGCATTTAACCACAGACCCTTTTGGAGAGATACATGTTGTTTATGGGCTTCTTCAGGCAATCCCTACGTTTTTCATTTTTTCTACCTCCAGAGGAGGATTTGGCATATTCCATCCCCTGTCCCTTGGTCTTGGGGCTATGACAGTGGCTGAGACCCTGCAACACAGGTTGAGTGGGAGAGGGAAGCAGTTGGCAAGGGCTTGAATCCACACTCTGGGGCTCTGGATGGAGCTCTTCAAGCCACAGTGCAAAAAGAATGCAGCAGGCAAGGACAAGACCCTAAGGGACCAACCATGGTATGTGGTTGCTCATGATCTCATAAAGCTGTTTAACTGGTGAGCTAGCCTGGGCAGCAGGCAGCCCCAGGAGGTCCATGTCCTGACCAGCAGCAGGGCTGCTCTAAGAAAGGCCACTGCATGTGGTCTCAACCCCTACTCCATGCTAGCACAGTGCAGGACATGGGACCTACTGAGCACCAAGCAATGATCTCCTGAGGGTGCAAAAGGCAGGAAGGTTGGCAAGATTGAACTAGGGTCCCAGGATCCCAGCTTCTGTTGGGGTTCAAGGCAGAAACCCAGGTCTAAAGAAGAGCAGAGGAACTACAGGATGGATATACAGGCACTCAGGATTCTGTGGACTTTTCCAATTCGTGGGCAGCTTGGGCACCAAGGACTTGGGAGGGATGGGGAGGTCAAACATGGCAGCCAGAGTTGAGGCTCAGCCTCTTAATCCTGAGTTTTGGGAGTATGACTTACTGCTCTACTCCACTGAATGGTGGCACTAAGGTTTATATCCACTTTCTTCCAGATTGACTAAAGGAATGAGATCGCAAGGAATCTGTACCAAGCAAGTAGCAGGGGCTAAATATAGGTAACTGCAGAGGTCATAGTATAAGAGACAATGCTGAGGCTGACGTTGTCATGCCTTCTTAGGTGGGTAATAGGTGGTAAGAAGTTGATGGAACATCCACAGCAGTGATTTTTCCCTAAATTTATATTAGACTAGCAATAAATATAACAGGCCCCAAGGAAATCTACATTTACCTTTGGTGAAAGACTATTTTTTCATTGCACTTATCCTAAATAAGCCAATTAACTGATCATTAGCAGGTGGGTAACTTCTGCAATTTAAAAGTAGAGTTCATTAAACTTGAAATCAATTGAATGGTATTGATATTTATTTTTAAAAAACAATATTTATAAAATCCAAACTATAGTACATTAAAAAATATCCATGCATTTCATGTAGTAAGATTAAATGCTTTTTAATGAAATACTTGTTCCAGTTTATATAGGCAAGGCCTCTGGGCATGTCTGCTGAGCTGCATTTAAAATATACTGGTGACTGGGCTGGGCATGGTGGCTCACACCTGTAATCTCAGCACTTTGGGAGGCCAAGGCAGGTGGATCATGAGGTCAGGAGATCAAGACCATCCTGCCTAATACGGTGAAACCCCATCTGTACTAAAAATACAAAAAAAATTAGCTGGGCGTGGTGGTGGGTGCCTGTAGTCCCAGATACTCAGGAGGCTGAGGCAGGAGAATGTCGTGAACTCAGGAGGCGGATCTTGCAGTGAGCTGAGATCATGCCACTGCACTCCAGCCTGGGTGACAGTGTGAGACGCCTTCCCCACCCCCCAAAAAAGTATTGGTGACCATGGGGGATTTCAGTCAAAAAATGTTGAAAGCCACTCCTCTGAGCATATGTTGAGAACCTACTGTGATCCAGGCTCTGTGGCAAGATCAAAGGCCTTAAAAGCTCAGCTGTGCTTTCGAGCAAGCTCAGTGGGCATAAGGAAATGACAAGGAAATGTCAAGTATCCTCTCAGGAAAAGAAGAAAGCATGACAGAGGCACAAGGGTTGATATGATGGGCCTCCTTGGCAGGATTGGGAAAGGAAAGGTCCCTGGGAATGGGTTTTCTGAGCTGGGCAATTCAAGATGGAGAGGAATGGTAGGACAACTCCAGAAAAATATTTACATTACATAGTGAATATGTAGTTTATATATTGACTTTGCCACACTCCAGACATTCTGGTTACATTTGAACTTTCTTTAGGGCACCTGATCTTACACCAGTTTCCTTTGGATTGACTTCCAGGATCATCTCCTGAAGTCCCAAGAGCTAGAGCTGTCCAGGAATTAAGTTGGTGCCTGTGATATCATAAAGACATATTCTTTGGACCATAATAGATTTTTCTTATAAACGTCAAATATCTCCTTGTACTTAAAGAAATTTAAACAATTGTCTTCCACAAACCTAGTTTTCCTTGCCATTTAATGTTTGCAGTGATATTAAGAACCATTCTCTGACTGAAGTAATGTGGTGATACCATAGTCTTTGCTTCCAAATAAATATGTTACCAAAAAACTACTTCTGTTTCACAACCAGTATTACTCAGTCCTTAAACCTGTCAAGCACAGTGTCATTAGTCTTCTGTACTGCTATAAGCTTTGTTTTGCATGTCATCCTAATAGAAGAAACCCTCAGGCAGTATTTAAGGCTATTACTGTTGATTAAGTTCTGTAGAAGTGGATGTGGATGTGAATGCAAAAATTGGAGCTGTCAGATTGAGAGCGATTACCATGGGTAGGGCCTATTGGTATGGTTCAAAAGATGTATACTATTACACCAAAGACATGGACTGAAGGTTACCATCCTCAGAAAGTGAATACTCATCTATCTACTCTCAAATGGATGAATGGCAATTTCTAGCAGGTAAAATGTTGTCTTTGGTATACCTCAAAGTATTGCTTCTTCAAAGCAAAACAAACAACTTCAAGACTTAAGGGGATTTTGTATATTCATAGATAAATTAGTCTATAAGATTGCATAAAATATATACATTATCTTAAAATAGCTATTTATAATCTGACTCTCTGAACTGTGACTACTTTATACAGGCTTTCTTCCAACTGATTGTCACTGTGGTATGATTTTGACATTTGATTTTAGTCAAAAGGTGTTTTTGGGGGGCTGTGAACTTCTCCACAAGTTTTTGTCATGAAACATGCCTAACAAAGAGAATGGCTGTTAAAAGAATGGCACAATGAATACCAAGTTAACTTTCATTCAGATTCATATTTAGCTATCTATGTATACACACAGATATATATGTATAAATACATGTAAATGTGTAAATATATAAATATAACATGATCAAAATATATTTATTATATAAAATATATTTTTAAAATAACATAAATAAAATATTTAAATACAAATATGATTATAAAGTGTTAAATTATAAATATATATGGCCACATGTTTTAAAATAAATTTAGCCATCGTGATATTTCACCCCTAATTATACTAGCATTTGTTTTAAAAGAACAACATCCTATATAACTGTGATACCATTATTATATCTAAGAAAACAATAATTCCATAGAAATAATTTCATAATATCTAGCACGCAGTACATACTCAAATTTCTGCAAGTGTTTCAATAATGTTTTTTATAATAATTGTTTATTTCTTAAACCAGGATCCAATCAAGTGTCACACATTGCAATTTGTTGTTATGTCTCTTTAGCCTTTGTTTCAAATTGTCAGCACTGTCCACATATGCAATTTTAAATCTTCTAATAACCACATTAAAAAGGAAAAAGAAACAGTTGAAATTAATTTCAAGCCTATATTGCTTTAATGCAGCCTCTCTAAAACTTGATGATTTTAACATGTAATCAAAATAAACATATTAATAAAAGATTGTACATTCTTTTTTTTTTCATGATAAATCTTCAGAATCTGGCACATTTGACCTTTGCCGTGGATGTCAGTGAGGACCAGCTGTGTTTGCCTCTTAACAGCCACCCACGGCTGGTGGTAATGCGAATCTTCCCAGCTTCTTATTTTCATGATAGGATCCCTCAGCTTTTAAAGAGTGCTATTTTTCTGCATTTTACTTTTCAAACCAAATTCAAGGAAGAAAAGTAATGTTCTTATTAGAGAAATAAACAACACACTTTAATTTCAAGATTTGAGGAAGCTTTTCCTGGCTCCAGGCTATTAATAACAGTACGTTCTCAGGGTGCAGCATTTTTTACTTCAGTATCATCAGACGCTTCACTACACATTTGCTATTTTAGATTGCTGCATGAGATCATGGCAAACAAATGGAAAACAGTCTTGCTGCTTTCCAAAATCTAAGCCTTAAATAGGCACGGTAAGAAAATAGAAATTTTATTAAGTAATTGATAGTTTTTAAAGAACTGTAAATTAGGAAACCTGAAGTTTCATTTAAAACTTACTAAATGAACAGTTTTTTAAACTTGGAACACTCCTTATAATAGAAGGAGCACATTGATAAACTGCTGTTGGCATTCATTTATTCTTTTATTCATTCAGCGTTTCATTGTTGAGAAACTGTTCAAGGCACTAGAGATAAACCAGTGAATGCACGAATTCCTCCCTCATTTAGCTTAGGTACAGTGGAGTGGGGTGAGAAACAGCTCATAACAAACTAAATCACAGGAGTCTATGTCGTACATGATATGGATAAAAGGCAAGAAGGGCGATTAGGACATGCCAAGGATGGAATGGGGTTGCAATTCTGAATAAGGCATTCGAGGAAAAACTCATTGAGAAGGGGGCATTTCAGCACAAATTTGAAGAAAGTGAGGGGAAGGGCCATGTGGCTCACTGGGCCCATGTGCTGTGCTGACCCTGGGCTGGAGGGGTCCCTGGTGCGTGGACAGAGCAGGATGGAAGCCAGGGCCCAGGGCAGTGGGGAAGCCACCTTGCAGGTGGAAGCCCAGGAGGACCTTAGGAAGACATGCACACACAGCGGGTGTTGAAAGCCACAAGACCAGGGCAGGGCGCAAGGCAGTAAGTGTGGACTGAGAAGGAAGGACATCCAAAGACTGGCCCTGGGACGTCCAATATTTAGGGAAATGGGAAGATAAAGATTCAGCAAGCACCTGAGACAGCACAGCCAGGTGCTGGAAGACACCAGTAGGGTGTGGTGCCCCAGGAGCCCTGTGAAGGAATCATTTCCACAAAGCAGAGTTGGCAGCTGCCCGTCAGTACTCCTAACAGGTGAGTGACATGAGGGCTGCCGTCTGACCCCTAGGTGGCTCTGGGGGGACCTTGACCAAAGCCACTTTAGTGATGCAAAAGCTTGATTGATGTGAATTTCAGGATAATGGGAAGAGAGAGATTTGAAACTGAGTATAGAAAATTCTGGAGACATTTTGCTCCAAAGGAGAAGAGTAAGGAGCTGGTAGCTAGAGAGAGAATTGAGGGGACAACAATGAAAATTAATAGAAGAAACAAATGCACATTTGTATGTCCCAGGCAATGAAGCACTGGAAGTAAGGGACTATTGATGCAGGGAGAAAACGGTGATTTGCTGAAACAGTGTCCTCAAGCAGGTGAGAAAGGCAGGAATGGGCTAAGTGGAGCACAGGTGGTTCAGCTGTTCTGCAGCCTGCAGGGAAGGCAGAGAGCATGGCAGGCCCAGTGCTGGGCAGTGTGGACATTGTGTGGTGGACAAGTGTCAACTGCTCTTCTGAGCTCTTCTGTCTTCTTGGTGAAATAAGAAACAAGGTCATCATCTCTGCCCCAGGAAGGGAGAGGAACTATGGGAGGTTCTATGGGAATAGAAAGTATGGAATCATCATCTAGAAGAAAGGAAAGTGGATGGATGAGGGAAACATAGTGATGGCCCAGCAGCACCAAAGACCACTGGAAGTTTGTGGCCATGAATTCAAAGTGAGACCTGTCAGTATCATCTTGTGACCTCCCAGCACATTCAACTGCATGAGCACAAGTACAAAGCAGGTAGTGAACTGTGTTTAAACAGAATTGTGCTTTTTCCAGGAGAGGAGGAAGAAGGGGGAAGACATTGAAGTCTAATGTGATGGCTCCTAATTCTTACAATGCTGGAACCAGGGAATTCACACTGGGAGAGAACAGGAGGGAGGCCTGAGCGTGAGGAGGCATTGAGAAAGGAGGGAGGATCTCTTTTGTTCCTGTGAGGCTGGAAAATGATTGGAATGGTGGTGCTGGAGGGAATTAGGAAGACAGTCCTGGCTGGAGAGTGAATGCCTGAACTTGAGATTATGCAATAATTGATATGGTGATGTATGGGGCATAATTAGGAGTTAAGGGAGAGGGCAATGTCATTACATGAGAGAAAACCAAGGAACTGAGAGATCAGGAACATCTATGCGGTTGCTGATATCACAGAGAATCAGGACAGGAGTGGTGCTGAAGAAAGTAAGAGTGACCTGGGGCTCCCATCTTCAGGGAACTAGTGATGAGGCCTGAGTGTGCAGCTAATGATGTGAGACTCAACTTGATCATTGCTTGTTGGTTTGTTTTGTTCTGTTTATAGAAAAGAAGGAGGAGGGAGGAGAAATGGGAATGAGGAGCAGAGGGCACACATTCTCCTCCAGCCCCAGCAGTATGAGGGCATGGGAGACCACCCCTGGTAAGGCCTTGAAGGCAGTGCTGTCCTGTGGAAGGGACAAACTCCCCTTAGAGAAGGTGATGGGAGGGTTCAGCGAAGATTCAGAAATTGATTTTGCAAAGCAATGTAGTTTGTTTGCTTGTTTTGTTTTACATTTTGATGGTTTTTAGTATATGTAGAGAGTTGTGCAGCCATCACCCCAAAAAGACACCAGCACTCATTAGCAGTCACTCCTCCCACTGGCCCCCAGCCCTAGGCAACCATTAATCTACTTTTCAACACTGTGAAGTTATCAATTCTGGACATTTCATATACATGGAATTATACAATATGTGGCCTTTTGTGACTGGCTTCTTTCTCTTATGCTATATGCTTTTGAGCACAATTTCAGAACAACTATTACGTTCAATTATTTGTACCCTTGAATGCAACATTTTTTTGTTAGACGTAGAATGGTACAATGAAAGTGTGTATGCATGTGAATGAATTCTACTTAAACACTCACAAAAGTGTGATAGACACATGTGCATACACACACTTTTGCTGCACCACTGTTTCTAGTGGCAAAGAACTGCAAATAATTATCAGGGGAATGAATAAATAAATCATGGCCTAACTATACAAAGACAGCCTATGCCTTCGTTAAGGAGAATGAAGGATTTACATATGAGTACAGCATGATCAAAATTTCATATAAATTAATAATAATATGTCAGTGCATGCATAGAGAAGAAAGTAATTGGGAAGATAAATACAAATTGTTGACAGTTATTACTTTTGGGAGCTCAGATCATGAGGAATTTTCTTTTTCTCTGCTTGGGAGTTCTATAAATTTTGTAATTTGTATAAAATACGAGTAACTATTTCATGAGCAGAACAAAATAAAAATAAAAGCAACATGGTAAGAATTGCACATTGCTTACATAATTTGATTTGGTTTCCTGAGAGTTCATCCTTTATGAGATAATTCAATAGGAAAAAAATGTTTAACATAACATTATCAATGGTGGAGAAAATGTTTATGTAACTTTATCTATGGTGAAGAAAAATCAAAAGCTCAGGGAAATGGGGAATTATATTTGTGATACATCACTTGATGGAATAGTATGCAGCTATTAAAACGATTTTTGTGAATCCTGTAGAATTATGGAGAACTGCTTCTGAGACTACTTTGGAAAAACCCAGAACACACAACTGCATGCATAATTATTGCGACCACAAGGCATTCATAGAGATAGTCAAAGACTACAGTGAACTATAAAAAATGTTAATATTTTGCAGGGTGGAGCTGTCTCTTCTCAAAATAAAATTGGTAAGTTCCTTCTTACATTCACAGCCCTGAGTCTGGTGAATGACGGAACCATTTTATCAATGGCCTGTTGGATCTAATGAGATATCCAAGTTCTCATTTCAAATTTATTATGTCCCAAGCCCAGTTCTAGTATCTACAGCATCCCTCAAAAGTGAAAAGAATTATATGACTCCATCTTCCCAAACTACCACAAAGACTAAACCACAGAGGAAGTGTAAGAAAGTCTTAAGTTCTAATGTTTCCCAGCACAAAAATTTGCGTGCTTTTTTTCTAAAATATCAAATTATTTTGTAAAATGATGGTGCCTTCACTTTGCTGGTATCTTAAATTCATAATTAGGCTGCATTAACTTTTCTTCAAATTCTTCACTGAATTTAATGAATCATAATTGTCCCAGGCAACCAGACTTGAAAATTGAAAATATTTTCTCTATTCTTTCCTTTATTCCCTGTAGCCAAATAAGTCACTAAATCAGCTCTTTCCTCCTTTGACCTACCTCCTGGTGCTGTTCAGTGCCTTTATTCATGTGTCCACCATCCTAGGCTGTGCTCTCCTCTCAACCCCAGCTTGAGAGGTAAGTCTTCTCCACTTCTCCCCTTTCTCCCATCTCTGTGGGCTCCCATTTAACGTGCCTTCTCAAAACACTGTCTTTAACATCATACTCCCTTGCTCAAGAGCTTCCAGCAGCTTCCCTGGTGCCTGCTATTCAAGTCCAAAGTCCCTGCTCTCCAGTCTAGACCATCTTCAGAGCAGAACCAGTTTACTCTTTCAAGTTCCCTTGTCCTGCTCTGCAGCATAAGGATATAACTCTGCCCCAAGAAGTTCTCTCATGAGCTCTTAAAGAACAGGTCCCCTGCCTCTGAGCTCTGCTGAATGCTGCCTGGTACCTAGAGTGACTTCTTGCTTTCCAAATTCTGGCCATTAATTTGTCTCCCATTGCTTCTTTGCCTCTCTTTCTACCTCTCTGTAATTTATTGCACAAAATACTTATATTCTGTATTACATATTTTGCTACTGCATTCATTCATTTCTTCAACAAACATTTATTGAGCATGCCTTCAGCAGAAGAAGGACTTTTTAAGCATTTTGTTAGTTTTATCTTACATAGTCCTCTAACTTCTTAGTGTCCATATGTTGCCTTTTTAACTAGTCTATAAATTCTTGCAATAAATGTAAATTACGTAGTTTGCTACTAGCTGGATTACAAGAAGAGAATAAAACCCAAGAGGAAAGCAATTGCACATGAAATATCAAAGAAAAGCTACACTATCAAAGAATCCTTGGACATGTGACTATGAAATACAAGAAAGCTGTCAGCAAAAATAAATCACTTCCTTCGTCGTATTGCTTCAGTTCCTTCTAATGTAGCCTGGCGCCACCGATAATAAAAATAATCAGACTTTTTTAAGGTGGGGAGGGGAAACTTGATCCAAATTCGAATGCTAAATTTCCACAGATCATTTCATTTTATGACGTTTAGGCACTGGGATATTACCAATTGACTTAGCAAATAGTGAATGAGATGATTTGTCAATATATAGTCAGCAAATATTCACCAGTCTTGCAATCGATGTTGCTTAACTGCTATGAGAAGCCATCAGAGTAAGCCAGGGATCTGAGGGTGGTGGTGTTAACCGTCTCTGCTTTCCTGCAGTACAGATGCATGATGGCACATCTTTTGTTTCTTGTTTGTTTGACTCCAAAATGGAAACTTCTAATTATTTAATGAGAAATACCTTCCACAGCTATGTAGACAGGACCACTGTATTCTTCCCATCATCAGGCTATGTTGGAGTCTTGAAGCTGGTAGCTTTCTTCTGCAACAAAATCTGTACCTTTTAAAACTCAAGGAACCTCAGGGGAAAAATTAGACCCCTATTCAGTGAGCTGCTCAGTTTTCTTCTGCTGCCTTTTTCCTATGTTTGTTCTGCTGTCCTTCATTCTTTGCATTCCTCCCAAGTGTGTTTATTTTATTTTTCCTTCTCTTCCACCAATGACGTAACTAGATACATAATTATATCTCTCTCCATTTATTAAAAATTGTTTTTGTTCATAAAACTAATATACTTTTTGAAGAAGATATAGACAACATGTAAAATAAAAAGAAGAAAATGAAAATTGCCTGTAATGCCACTACCTTCTGACAATTTTTCTAAGCTTGCATAATATCTTATAATAGGTCAGCTCCATCATATCTCATAGTTATCATCATGAGGATTTTTTTCATGGTATTAAATATTCCTTAAACAACATGACTTTTTAGTTATGGTACAATGTTTTACTATATGGAACCACTTAACCATTCCTTTTTTTGACCATCTGCATAATTTTTTAAATTTAGTTATTAAAATGTTCAGGACAGTCTCTTTCCAAAGTAAAGTCCTAATCATATTTTTTATTGTTCCTTAGGATAAATTCTTAGAAGTGAAATATCTAGAAGACTCAATACATTTTGATAATTTTATTTCCAGAGACTTGTGTTAAATTTTTCCCTCTAGTAACTTCTGAGAGTTCCAGGATGATGTATTTTTCACTCCACTATGTTCCTTCCTAATATCAGGCAAAGCAACATGAATTCTCACAGAGTTATTTCTTTAGCATGTGTTCATTTGCTCCCATGCCTGCCACTCCTCTTCTGGCTGGTATAGCCAGGTTTATACCTCCTGCTACCAACTATTAATAAATCTCTTCTCTGCATGCCTGCACATACCATAGCTTCCATTTGCTCCTGAGAGAATCATCTTTTCCTTAAAACGTATTTTTTCCTTCCACCTTTCCTGCTCGGTCATTGGCACTGCCATTCTGAACCAGAATCTCAGAGCTGTCTTGGACAGCTACCTGCCCTCACTCATCTTCGGTGAGTCTGCCAGTGGAGCGCCTTGGCATCTTGCTTATTCTACTGTCTTCTCCCTAGCCTAGCTTGTCTGAACGCTTGCATTCCTAACTTGCTTTCCATCACAGTCTTTCCCCCTTCTTAGAATCCCCATGATATCTTTGATAGATGTGATTATGAAACTCTCCTGCTTTAACATTCATTGCTGAGAGAATTGTGGCCAGGTGCTTTAGCAAGGTGCAGTGATCTCGTCACACCACAGGTCAGCATAGGACTGTCATCTCCAGCCTTCCCCTCGTGTCCACTCAGCCACTCCAACCAAAGACCGTGTCCTTCTGTCCTGTCTTACTTGGCCCACTCCTTGCCTCTTGGGGGAATTTCCTTCCATTTTTCTCTCATCTTTCAATACTCAGTTCAAATGCCACTTCATTTCTACAGCTGACCTGACTGACTCCTTAGAGCGAAATAATTTTTGACCAAATTTTCCTTTTGCTGTGGTGATTGCATATATTTATTTGTTGATGTGATTATCTCCTCCTTTGAGCTCTTAGAGACCGGAAATGGTGAATTGAGAATCTTTGTGTCCCTAATGCCAACAAAAAGATGGTGCCACCCGCTTTCTCAGCTTGCAGTCTGTCTTCTTGGCACTTATCTAGGGACTCTTTTGTTGCTTTCTGTCCACGCTGTTCTTTTCGCTAGTTCTTATCACCAATTGCAGGAAGGTTTCAGGTTTCATTGTGTGCATTGATTGATGGTATTCCTAAACTACCCATGAGATTTAATTTAATCTGTAGCAGATTATGTAGATGATCTTAAAAATTATATTGGATCCATTTCTAATCTGTTGCTTTGCAGTAGGAAATATGCAGAAAATATGAACCTTCAATGTGTTCCATCCAGAGGATCCCAGAACAGGAACAACCAACTGAGGTTGCTTCATGGTTAGTTGGTTGGATATTTTGTGTCTCCCTTAAAAATAGTCAACACTCAAAAACTAGCAATTAAGTCAAAGAGACCTCTGAAGAAAGTGGAAGGATTTAGAGAGCAAAAGATGGTGCCTTCTAGAACAATAAAGATTACAAATTGATCCACTGAATAGTTTCCATCACACTGGTAGGATGGTAAGCGGTTTTTAAAATTTCCAACCATTAGTCATAGATTTGTTGATTGTGGTCTTGCTCTGGTACTTGAACTTGTTTTGCAAATGCTGACCTTAACAGCTTTTCTTTTCTTCTCTTTTTGATCATAACCATAAGTGTTCTAGAATGAATAAGCTAGTACAAAATCATTCCATTGATGATTTGACAGGAAAACCAGCTTTAAAAAGTATATTTTTAGCCAGAATATGTTTTTCTCTTATCACTAGTTGCAGGAAGGTTTCAGTTTTCCTTGTGTGCTTTAATGTGCAGAACTGGTAAGGTTTTTATCAACGTTAATCCTGGTGAACCGATCAATGACTTCCTGGATACTAATATCCTTTTTTAGATTAATACTCTGAATGTATGAACCTGTTTTATCAGATAACTTAAACAATCAATCTCTTTGTGTGTTAATTGCTATTGAGGGTTAATGTTATTTATAAAATGAAATCAATATAATCTCTATTGCTCATTAACTGAGATGTTCTGGGCTCAATTCTGTTTTATTTTCCAATTAGGTTCTATTATTTTTCCTTATTGGCCCTTGAAAACTAGCTGTGGAAACAAACTTAATGGTTCTGAAAATGTCAGCGTCAACAACATGCCCTAATGGAAAACCCCATAATATATGAATATAAAAAAGGAATGCATTTAATTATTGGAAATTGCAACATAGTTTATTATTATACATTTATCTCTTATTCTCATTTTTTAAAGGGCATGACTTCAGATCTATTAGTGAGATAAAAGCTTTCTCTCAGTAGTTTATTTCATTCTCAGTGGATAAAACCAACAGCCTCATGGTGCTCATGGTGCTGTAGAAAGGCAGCCCCCCAGCAGTGGGAAGGTCCGCTCCTTAAAGCCCTCCCTTCTTTAAGCCGCCTGGACAGCGTCTGCTTTAGTTCCTGCTTGGTGCATCCCTTTGGGCTATGTGGTGGGCTGTGGAATGGCCCCCGGGGTGCCCGCATCCTACTCCCTGGAATCTGTGGCTATGTCCCTTTACGAGGCAAAGGAGACTTTGCAGATGTGATTTAGTTAAATGTACTGAGGTGGGGGGTGATCTTGGATTATCTGGGTGGGGCCCATGTAATTACAGGGTCCTTGTGAGAGGAAGGCAGGAAGGCCAGAGAGAGAAGGAGACGTGACAGAGAAAGCCGACTGAAGCAGGTGACAGGACAGTGTGTCCAAGGAGTGTGGGCAGCCCTGGAGTCCGGGAAAGGCAGGGGCAATGATCCTCCAGAGGAGTGTCCAGCATGAGCCAGCTATGCCTACACCTGGGTCTTAAGCCAGTCAGACCCATTTTGGACATCCTGCCTCCAGGACTGTTGGGCAGTAGATCTATGATGCCTGAAGCCGCCTGGTCTGTAGTGATTTTCTGCAGAGGCAACAGGAAGCCAACACAGGGCCAGGGGGCTCTGGGGGGAGTGTGGCTCTGGGCTGAGCACTGGAGCTGGGCAAGGAAGAAACTCCTGGACATTAAGGAGCTGCCCCTGGGGTGCCTTGGAAGGCATACTCACCTGGGAAGGACTAGGGGTTTCCTTGTAAGGGCGCTTTTAGTAACCCAACTCACAGCTTCTGAAGCTCAGGCCTGAGGAGCCCTGTCTAGGTCTGCACCCACTGAACATATCTGGAGCTTGCCTTTTCTTAAGGTCCTCCTGAAAAGGCTTCCATTTATAATAGGCAAATAGGTTGGAATTTTAGAACTGGGTTTACCTGGTCTCCAGCTATGTTTGCTTGGTCTTTTCCAGGAATATGTTTTAGCCTTTAGCACAATTTTAAACAAGTAGATAGAAATGAAGAAGTCTGACTTTGTGAAGACTTTTCTACCTGCCCACGATTTTTACCTTTCTCAGGTTAATAGCTTTGTTTTTGTCTCTAGGCCAATAAAATTCATCTTTTTGAGGAAGAGGAGCACCTATTACTCCATCCGGCAGTCACTGTGTGAAGTTGACAGATAGTCGAGGTGTTTCTGTGTGTGCACTAAGGCTTCTCCACCAAAAAGTCCTCAGGGAGAAAACTTTCTGGATCATTTTATCAAAAAGATAATCAAGGCTGGGCACGGTGGCTCACGCCTGTAATCCTAGCACTGTGGGAGGCAGAGGTGGGCAGATCATGAGGTCAAGAGATCGAGACCATCCTGGCCAATATGGTGAAACCCTGTCTCTACTAAAAATACAAACATTAGCTGGACCTGGTGGTGCACGCCTGTAGTCCCAGCTACTCGGAAGACCGAGGCAGGAGAATCGCTTGAACCCGAGATGTGGAGGTTGCAGTGAGCCGAGATCACATCACTGCACTCCAGCCTGGTGACAGAGCGATACTCTGTCTAAAAAAAAAAGATAATCAAAATACAGCAAGGTTTAGCCCTCATGAGCAGGGTAAAATGGTGGCCAAGGCTGGTGTTTAGCTCATGCCCCTCTGTGCCATAGCCAGTGGTCTTTCTTGGTGGAAGAGTCAGTGTTGTGAAGAGGGACTGCCTCCAGCCTCAGCTGGGCTGTCTCTTCCCAGCACCACCATAGGGTCATGTTTCCATCTGTGGGCTTGTTACCATATTAAATAGACGTAGAGTGCTCAATGTGTGTGTGCAAATCCTGGCTGCACCATGAACCAGGCGTGAGACCTTAGATGGGTTGCCTAAACTTTCTAAGGAACTCAAGCAATAGGAACTCAAAAATGACAGGTATTGCTATCATTTTGGCAAGCTACAGATTCATTCAGACATTTAGAAAAAAATTAAGTTGAAGCCTTCAATTGCCAGAAAATAGCTCACAAAAAGATGCTTGTTAGTTATATGTCTGACATTGTAATAAACCTTTTCTAAGTTTTCCCAAGAACAGTTGGTTCTGTTGCTACACCCAGCTCACAGCTCTAAGAGGCTTAGAAGGGTCAGGTGATTTATCCAAAGTCACACACCTAGTTGGTGGCACAGCCAAGAATCGAATGCAGGCTGCAAGACTCTTGCACGAATGCTTTGCCTACTTCCCTATACCGCATAGAGCAGGAACAGCATCTCATTATAGTAGACACTGACTCAATTTGTTAGTTTTACAAATACGAAGCAGTTGGCACGAGAAGATCCCGTGTGTTGGTGACATGTATCTTCCTAACCAAACCCTGCCTGAAAACTGGTTTCATGTCTTCCTCCAAGGGAATACATAATTGTAAGTGTCAATAAACTGCACACCTTTCTTAAGACAAATCCACTGCTGTATTTTTCAAATCAATCGAAGAAAGAAAGTGGAAGGAGGGCAGGTGCAGTTCTTTAGTCACTGCTGCATTTAACCTGCCCCCTTCAGCCTATCCTGTCACCTTTTTTTTTTTTTTATACAAAAGACAACTGCTGTCTTGTGCTTCCGTGGTCATTGGGCTGGAGGAATTGCACAGAAGGTGCGGGGCTGAGAAAGAGAGGCCCTCGTTGCTGTCCTGTTTGAATGGCAGGCTCAGCGGAGTGCAAATTCGATGCCCACCATAGCCCCTGTCCTTAGGAAATACCAACTCGCTTTCATGTCATGGTCCCTAGAAATAAGTGCCTGCTTTCCAAATAACTGAAGTATCAGGAAATATCTGCATATGTTCTCCCCAGGCTTCCTTTGAGACATTAACATACGATTGTATGAAATACCACAGACAGGACATGGGAACTGCATCATGCTCCCTGGAACCTCTATACACTGGGCAAACTTAGCTAACAAGAACAATAAATTAGGTATAGATGCTGACAAAATCAATTGTTCTGACTGAATTTTTCAGGTTGCTTTGACTTTGTCTTTTGGTAAATAGCTTAGTGTGTACTTTTTTTTTAGTATAAAAATGAAAACAACTTTTTAAAGCTTATTGGACCTATGAATTAATTAATAATAAATGATGACTTTGTACCAGGCAGTATGTTCGATGTGTTGTGTATGTCATCTCATTTAATCATTCCGACTACTCCATGACATAGACATTACTTCTATTTTTGGATTGGAAAGCTCAGGGTCAGGTCACACTGAAGCTGAAAGTTATGCAATTGGTAAATAACAGAGGTGGGATTTGAACCTGAGTCGTTACAGTGCCTCTTGCCAATGAGTCGTTTTGTTTTCTGAAATCTCAAGGGTTGGGGTTTCTGAGCCCAAACCCATAATTTCTTTTGTTTACTTGCTCTTTGGAATGCCAGTGGGATGCATCATTCATTGGATTTTTTTCTTTTAGATCCAGTGATCCCTAAAAGATAAGAATTTGAAATGCACTCAAGTGCCCCAAGAGACGCAACCACTCTGCTCATACTACACACAGCCTACGACCTTTAATCACACGTGCGATGGATTCAGGACCCATTTTCAGAGCTTCATCTCAAAGACCTTCTATGGGAAACAGATGGGTTGGATGAGTAAGGGCTGAGTCAGCCTCACAGAGGCTGAATCTTTGGTTCCAAGGAGTCTAAAACCCACTAAGCCATCCCCTCTGGTGAAGAGATTATACGCCAGATGGGAGCAAAACTTGCCCTTTTCTGATCCAGAGGCCGAAGTGTTCCTCATTAGAACACTGCTGTGCTTAATGGAGGCCTAAAAATCAAATCCTTCCAATATGCTATTTAATATGGCTAAGCACAAGCAAGGGGCAAGCTTGCCCAACTCTTTTCCGAAGATCAAGTTTTTCTCATGTATAATTCAGTTTTTATCATAGTCTTTAGTTTTTGTCCATGTTAGTATTACGGTGTCTAGCATTTCTCAAGCCTGTATTTTAAGACACATATCGGAAGAATCTTACTGATATTTACAGTTTAGAAATGACTTTCCACTAAGTTGTAGCTATCTAGAAAATAAATCAAATTGAAGCTTTAAAAGAATATTGCATACAAATCTTTCTGATCAGCTGCTTCCCTGTATAGCCATCTATTTTTGTATAAAAGACACGTGACAGCAAATATTATCTCCAATGAATTATTTCCATGATTAGAACTCCAATACTATGTTGTATTTCCAAATATGGTCATGTTCTGAAGTAGTAATTAAATAATAAGTCTAAAGGATATTTAATCATATCAGTCTTTTAAAATCTACTCTGTTTTCTCACAATGAATTTTTAAAAAGTGAATCAATAGTTGTACTAGTGCTATATATTTGTATGTGTTTCTGAGCGCAGATAGTTGTTCTAGGGTTAATTTATCAAATATGGCAGCTACTTAGCAATATAGCATTATGGTAACTATTGAGCACTTTACGTGTTGTTAGTCTAAATTGAGATGTGGTGTAAGTGTAAAACATACTAGATTTTGAATATAAAACATGCCAATATTTTAAAATTCATTGCCTGCTTAAATGGTAATATTTTGGATATATTAAGTTAAATAAAATGTATTGTTTAAATAACTTCTGTTTTTTTCTTTTGAAAAATGTGGCTGCTGGAAATTTTAAAATTACACATATGATGAGCATTTTTGCTTTTGTTCTATTTCTATTAAATAATGCTAATCTAGAGTCTCTAAGCAAATAAAATAAATAGACCTTTCTGGTTTTTCAGCTATCTGAAAAATCAGAGTACTTCTTTTAACCCAGTTTGACTCTCTAGTTCAGCACAACCATCACTTGCTATATTGTACCTAGTGACAAAAGCAGTTAATTTACCTCCCGAATATGCTCTTTTACAAGGAGGCAGTGACTTTATTTGGAAAAATTTGGCTTAATAAGCTTTAATTGATGATAATATTAATAAACAAAAGAAGGATCAATTCACAATTACAGTTTATAAATAATAAGTAGTAGAAGACTCTGAGAATGTATTTATACATAAATTCATATGTACCATAATATATGCTGGATGTAACTTAATACCATACCACGATAATATAAAACTACATGATTATGTATGTGTCTTGGTGCTTGCCTTCTTAGTTACCGGTAAATTGGCAGAGGTTTAAAATATAAAATTAGCTTCTTAACAGCTAGGCATAATTAGTTTTGAAATTCTTTTATCAAATCATTAAAACATGAACACACAATGACTCACAAAAATAATTCAGTCTTGTTTGTTTATATGCTGGTCGGCATCTCTTTTATTCATCCGTTTCCCAGCTTGGCCTTCAACAGCAAGTGTTCCTTGAACCAAAGAGAAGCTGGTTCTTTAATTCCAACAACTCCCTCTGACAGGATTATCTAAGTGTTGCTCTGCCCATCGGGATCCCTGGAGGGCCAACTTAGTGTGTTTGCGTGGCCTTGTCATTTACACAGGATGCTGTTTTTGTTCTAACGCTAATCGCTAATCGTTTGTTTTCAGGCTTGTGCAGACCGACAAGTAATCTTGCCGGTGACTTTCGTTCTATTCTTTTTGAGTTTTGCCATCGTCATTTATCTCTACCCTTACACAATGATCTTCCTTAACTTCTCCTTCATTAAAGACAAATGTGCAAGGGGGTTTTGTGTCCTCCCAGACAGCATGAAATCCAACCAGAAGAAGAGGGGAAAGGTAGAGACCAGTTTAGTAAACATGATTAGTTAAATAATCAATATCAAGTGTGAAACATCCAGCGGTGGTGTGTTACAGAGTGGTCTAATGAAATGACATGCTTTAGTGATGAAAACAACCATACATGCTCCATTGAAGAGTAGCTATTTTCTTTACAGACTAGAAACATTATGGCAATGAATTCGGTTTATTTACAAACTTAGATTTTTTTTTTTTTGGCTCATTAAAAAAGTCATGTTTGAAGTAGCAGGAATATTGTACATGTGGTTTATAAGCCAAAGTGGTTGCCTAAGAGGATGCAGTGTTTTTAAGGTCAGCACGATTTAGCTGACCAGGTTGTATTTCGCTCTGTTTCCATTGAAAAGAGGCAGCCACAGTTACATGACTTCTGTAGATACAGAATCAATGATGACAGTGTTCTAAGAAGGCCATTGGCCTGGTGTCAAGCCCTTTGGAAGTGTTCCACTGGCCTGTAGCCCCACAAGTTTCGTGGAAATCCTGCAGCTCAAGGAAGGGCATTTGGATTCATTTTGGGAAGGAAAAAGTAACAACTTTTACTGAGTGATCTCTGCAAGGGTTTGTCCTCCTCTTGCCCCCATCAGGTTGGACATGTAAGGCTTGGAGCTCTGGGCTTTAACTCTCTCACCTGGCTGGGGATCTCCCCTTTCTCTCCCTCCCCTGTTTGCCTCGTCCAGCTTGCAGGACCCTTTGTACCTCCCCTGGGAGGAGCTGCCTATGGAGCTGGACTGGGCAGGAAGGGAAAGTACCTGCACCTTTGCAGGCCCACAGCAGGCCTGGTAGCAGGGACCACAGCGCAGGCTCTGCAACTCCCTGACCTAGAATCAGAGTCCCCGGGCCAGGAGCCACATGGACCGTGGCATTAATGCCTGGACTTTCCAAGGAACTTCTTTCACAGGCTGGCAGGAGTGCTCCAGACACAAATGGACATGCCAGCTGCGAGTATCCGGGTTGGCATGGTTTATTTGGGGAGGGAGAGGCTTAGGAGACATGCTGTGATATTCAGCTCTGACACGTTTCCTGGCGTTGCCTGACTTTTCTTTGTCCCTTTTCAAAATCTTTGCTGCACGTATTTGGAGTCCCAGCCAGCACACCACGTACCCACCTTCTTCCCCAGGCCATCCCTCTCCTATGCCTCCACTTTCAGACATGACACCCTCACTTTTCACTTTCACCCCAGGGTTAGCTCTGACCCCTTCCTTGTTTTACCTCCCCATCTTCACATCTAATCAATTGCTGCAGCTTGCAGATTTTCTTTTTTTCTGTTTTCTCAGGCCACCACTCACCTGGAACCAGGCCCGCCTTGTGCCAGTTTTGGAATTTCATTGCCGCGTAGCTACCGTATTGGGCAAATTAGCACCAGATCGACCATCTGCTCTCTAAAGTAGACACACACATGACATCACCGTTGCAGTTATCGAGTCATTTTCCTAAAATTCACTGTGGGAAGGACAAGCAGAGTGAACTGAGGGAGACTGATAGGACTACATCTATTTTAAATATATCCTTTAATTAGTACTTCAGAACACGGCCTCCTCTCATCTCCCTACCTTCCTGCAGGTGCATGCTTCCTTCATCAGACTGGCCTCCCCACACGCCATCGACTGCATCATACCACGGTGCGTGAGCATTGATTTCCTACTGGATAGGCTCCAGTCTGACATTCACGATTCTCCACTGCAGGGGTTCAGTCCTAGCTCTTCCATCTCCCCTGGTGAAGCCAGCACCCCAAACACTCATTCCACAGTTCCTCCCACACCATGCCCCCTAGTGAAATGCCTGCTCCCTGATTTCTCCCCACAGCTCCTTCGTGAGCCGTTGAAGTCTAACTTTCCCATGAAGCTTCTCGGTTGATTTCAGCCGTCAATGATCTCTTCTTATTCTCAACTCATGGCTCATAGTGATTAAACCCCTCCTTGGCTAATAATTAGCTACCTCTTACATTTCTGTCTTGAGAAATCTCACTATTTCATACACATATTGTTCATTTACTTTTTACCTATGTGCATGTTTCTTCCTGACAAGGTTATGCATTCTAGAAGAATTCTTTGAGGGTCACAGATTCAGGGTCTTTTGTTTCAAATAGTCAAGGCTCTCCCCCTCTGAGCACTTACTTGGCATTCCCTCTTATGCTCTTGCTTGTGATACTTAATTTGTTTTGTTTCTTCTTTGGACACCAATGAGAGTTTGTTTAATAAACAGATTATTTGCGTAATATTCCAGTAAAGTAGTAAAATTTCTTCTAGTGTTTTGTTTTCTGTGTAAAAGGTTTTATTTAAATTTATTTTTCATTAGCTGTTTGTTTTTGCTCCATTATTCCAACTGCTTTCAAAACAGAGTGCATCCCATTAATGGGAAGGGTACGATGTTCCTGAGCATCCTGAAGCAATTCTGTTTGTAATCCTGGGAGTAGTAACTGGGAAAGGCGGAATGTTCTATGGACACAGAGAGGAGGAGGAGAAGATGGAAAAGGAGAGAGGAAGACTGGCACCTAGGATGGAGAAGAGAAGGGCCAGTTTTGAACAGCAAGGCAGCCCTCGGGGACAGAAATGCCACATGTGGGTTTGACTGTTTAATGTGAAGTGTGTGCCTCACTTCCATCTTCACATCAAGAATCTTCAATAAAGCTCACACTGGTTCCTGACGATCTTATAAGAATGGGCTATCTAGGGGAATTCGAAGGGATGTTGACTTTCGCATCTGGGTCAACAAAGTGCAGAGGCTAGGCAGGCTCGTCCTGGCCCCTGGGACTCATCTAAGGCCTCTCAGTGTCGAAAGCCTCCAGAGAGCCCTCTCGTCTTCAGATGAGTGACGCAAAATCAACTCACATTTATATGACTCTTCACAACTTACAAAGGAACGTCATCCTAACGGAAACTCTGTGTGGCAAGTGGGGTGGATTTTGCTAATTCCACATTACAAAGTTAAACACAGAGATTCAGAAAAGTTATGTCATATGCCAGTAAGCAAAGAATTCAAAGCCAAGGTCTGCTCTTTTAAAACAACAAACAAACAAACAAGCAAAAAAAACTAGGATCGTCTAAGTAGCATCCATTCTTCCTCCTTCTTCTCCCCGTGCTAGCTGGGGTGTGCCTGCAGACTTGCTTCTCTGGAATTCATAGCATTACTCTGTGTTTGTTGTCAGTCTGCTTTCAGAAGAATAATTGCCCTGCTTTTCTCTTACATGTGAACTTTTACCTTAATGCTTAAAATGTTTGGCAATCTTGTCAACCTCTAGGTTTCAGGATACATGTCATCGGAATCTGAATTGTACATCCAGAATTATCCACACATGGTAGTTCACATTCTCCCTCTTGTTAAGTCCTGTTCTATGGTCTCTCATTACTTTGTCATTTTTCACCATTATTTTTATCTTTCTCATCAAATACACATTTTATAAACAATTGTGATTTATTATTATTATTTGCTTTTTGAATTCAGTTCCGCTGTACTGGTTTATGAGTTGTTACTTTTCCTCTGTGACTTTCCTGGACGTTATTTGTCCAGTGCTCTCATGCTCACAAGCCCTTCTGGATCATGCGTCTATGATTCCCAGCATCTGTTTCTAGCTCCACCTTGAAATGCATTATTCAATGAAGATTTTTTAAATTTTTTTCTTCACATGATTTAATTCTTTGGCTAATCACTGTGATTAATCTTTTGGTTGAAAATTTCCAGTTGTCTTTTTAAATGGAAATTATTATTTCTCTCTTAATTTTTCCTCTAGTATGTTAGAGAGGCTCAGGAAATGGATTCTTAGTTATTTTATACCCTCTCACTGAGTAAAATTAATGTGTTTTAAAATTAATGCCATTAAGAATCAATTGTTATTTGTAGTAGGGAAAATGTGTAAGAACCAAAATGCCCAACTTCTAAGGGAGCTGTTAAATAAATTACTCAAGTCCTCTGAGACAGAGCATGATTTATAAATATAAAAAATTGGAAAGAGTTTAAAAGATAATTGTAAAATTAAATGCAATATAGCCATAAAACCATGTTTTCAAAGAATAGGTTTAATAAAAGTGCCCAAGGTACAATATTGAATGAAAAGATTTCAGGACACAAAAATATACATGCAATTTGATTCCAAGTTCCTTCTATTCTTAATAAATGTGATTTAGTATGAAACAAACTACTTCTCATTTTAGATGTATGCTTATTTTGCTTAAAATGAGAATTGCAGTTTCATTGTATTCTTCTGCTTTTAATTTTTAGTATAACAACATAAATGGCACCTATTTTATTGCATTTATTCCAACGCAGAGAAGTATATAGAGAAGAGATGCTGTCTGTGTTCTCCTGGAGTACATGCCCTAAGCACACAGAGAGCAGGTTAGGCATGGAGGGAGAGGAGGGTAATCTGGGTGAGTGATCCACTCATGCTATAAGGGCCCTGGCTCCCCCAGACTCATCTCCCAGTTAACATTTCACTGGTGAGCAGGTGTGCGATCCCAGTAGAAACAGGGAAGGCATTGAGTTAAAATGAGGTGTTCTAATAAGAACTTAATTCCACAGACCCTTTGGTTATGAAGTGCTTCAGAGAAAGGTGTGGAAGGCTTAAGTAGAGATTTGAAAGACTTCTTGCACTTAGTTTCTACCACAGAGAATTTTGAACAATGAAGCCAATGAAACAGAAACAGATGGCTCAAATTTTCTTTGAAATGTAGACAGATTGAAGAGGAAGAAATTTGGCAAAAATACATTTGGGATATGGCCAAACTGAAAACATTTGAGAAATGGTATGAAACACTTTTGGAAAAGCATGAAGGTGCCTGAAACACTGACACTAAGTGTAATGTGATGGGGACACATGAAGAAATGGAGCTTGTACAGACAAGGCCACGCGTTCTGGTCAACCATGGCCACCATGGCTTCATTCTGAGGGAGGGCAGACACTGACGGCTGGTGGTTCCACCTCAGCGACTGGAACCAGCTGCGTGACTGAAACACTCTGTGAGACTGTAACTACCTGTAAGACTGATGCTACCTGTGTGTCTGAAACACTCTGTGAGACTGTAACTACCTATGTGACTGAACCCTGTGAGACCAAAACACCCTGTGAGACAGCAACTACCTGTGTGGGTGAGAGACTCTGTGAAACTGTAACTACCCATGCAGCTGAAGTACCCTGTGAGGCTGTAACTACCCGTGTGGCGGAAACATCCTGCAAGACTGTAGCTACCTGTGTGGCTGAAATGCCCTGTGAGATTGTAACTACCTGTGTGACTAAACAACCCTGTGAGACTGTAACTACCTGTGTGACTGAACAACCTGTGAGACTGTAACTACCTGTGTGGTTGAAATGTCCTGTGAGATTGTAACTACCTGTGTGGCTGAAACACCCTGTGTGACTGAAACTAGCTCTGTGACTGAAGCGTGCTGTGCAAATGAAATGACCTGTGTGGCTGAAATGATCTTTGAAGCTGTAATTGCCTGTGTGACTGAAACTATCTGTGCAACTGAAATGGCCTGTATGGCTGTAACTCCCTGTGCGACTATAACTTGCTGGGTCTCCTTTTGCTTGTCTCTAACTTGAAGGCTTGGAGTAGATGATCTGACATTCTTTAATGGGGTAGCCGCCCCACTACCATGTCTCTTTCCCTCTCTCTGGGAGTGTGAAGCACTTAAGCTGCTTTTCGTGGAGACCAAGAAACGTTCCTGAAAGAAATATTTGCCTGAGAAGTACAAAATCTTTGGTCTAAGACTCGAGTACCTTTTTTTTTTCTAAGACAGGATCTCACTCTGTCACCCAGGCTGGAGTGCAGTGGCATGATCATGGCTCACTGCAGCCTCAACTTCCCAGGTTCAAGCGATGCTCCTGTCTCAGCCCCCTAAGTAGCTGGGACTACGGGCATGTGCCACCACGCCTGGATAATGTTTTTGTATTTTTTGTAGAGACAGGATTTTATCACGTTACCCAGGTTGGCCTCAAACTCCTGGGCTCAAGTAATCTGCCTGAGCCTCCTAAAGCGTCGGGATGTGTACCCATTTTTCAATGGACCTTTCTTTGGTAACATTTAAGTGAAAAAGTATTAATGCGTGTTTATGCTAATAGTCAGGTAAAAAGAAAGCAACACCCATAGCAAAGGGCATGGAAATGTACATTTCTGCTTTGGTTTCCAAGGGGCTGATCCTTGTGAAGAGATTGGAAAGTCCTGAGTTGGGGCATTTGAGTCCAGGAAGCGAAGGATAACCCAGGAGAGCTTATTAAATGCGCCATTTCAAACAAAGTAAAGATGAAATGACCTTCAGGTAAAGAAGAAAACACTGAAACACGATGAAAGGAGAATAAGAGCCCTATGGTTTACAAAAGATTTTTTAATTTTTAAATTGAGGATATTTCCCCAAAGTATATCAGGCTTTGGAATACTGGCTGGGGGCGGTTGGAGGAGACAAAACTATAAACAAGAAAGAGAAGTTTCAGGGGCAGCTGGCATGAATGCTGCTCTCCACACCTTACTTACTAACTCGTGGAAAAAGGGCAGAAGCACATGGGCACATGGAGACGGTCAAAATGGGAAGGAGAAAGGGTCAGAGAAGCCAAGCTGTGGGAGCTGGGAGGTCAGCGGAGACGGGACAGGCTTCGTGGTCCTGAGACAAGTACACCTGGTATGGCAGTGGCTACCTGAGAAGTGGGGAAAGCTAGCAGCACTAGAGTTTCCTGGGGGGAAGGATGAAGGGAGGGTGGCTGATATAAGGAGGTTTGTGGAAGCAATCTGAGAGCAGATAAATCCCTCGGTACCCCCGCCACCTCCACGTGCCTGCCTCCCCCCTAGTGGGGCTGAACTCCGGAGGCTTTGTCTCTGAACAGAGTCCCTGGAACAGGGCTCTAGGCATAGTTGTGCTATACCCAAAGCAAGGGACCTCACTGACTGCATGATTTAAAATATTCACGTCATTTAGCGATGAGCATGTGACAAACTCATTTCAAACTTGCTCTAAGGAAAGAAACCTGAGACAAGCCTCCTGAAATACTAACCCTTGCTAGGAACATTTTAATGAAAAAGGCTAAGTGAGATCTCTCAGCCTGACTATAAGATAAAGAATGTCTTGTTAGAAATCATCAACCCGGCTGACAGACTGAGGGGTGAGAAGCCAGTGTCCTGGAAGAGATCTCAATTCCATTAAACTTTACCGCCTAACTGCTTAAACATTTGATCAGGAATTCACATTTCTTCCAAGAGGGAGGTTGTAAATTATATCACATGAAAAGTTCTGTCCTAGACCAGGTTTGATTTTTCTGTGGGAAACCTGACCAGCTAACCAGTTCAAGAGGTACTGAGGCAGCAGGCAGGGCTTGACTCTGGAGCCAGGGCTCGGACACGGAACCAAATGAGGACTTGCTAAAACAGGGATGGGGTAGAAACAGCTTTCCATAAGACAGGCCCACCAGCATGCCAAGTCAGTTTACCATCGCCATGGCAATACCCGCGAGTTACTGACCCTTTCCATGAGAAGACCCGATGGCCCGAAAGTTACTACCCTTCCCTAGGATGTTCTGCATAAACCGCCCCTTAACTCGCATGTTCCTAGGACGTTCTGCATAAACCGCCCTTTAACCCGCATGTTCCCTTGGAAGTTCTGCATACACTGCCCCTTAACTCTCATGTTATTAAAAATGGGTATAAATGGGACTGCAAAACTGCCCTGAGCTGCTCCTCGGTGCCTATGGGGTAGCCCTGCCCTGCAGGAGCAGTCACAGAGCATGACGCACACTGCTGCCTCAATAAAGCTCTTTTCTTCTGCCTCTGGCTTGCCCTCGAATTCCTTCCTGGACAAGGCCAAGAACCCTCGCAGGCTGAGCCCACTGTGGGGCTCACCTGCTCTGCATCAGT
The DNA here is from genome assembly GCF_000001405.40 of Homo sapiens. Taxonomy (NCBI): domain Eukaryota; kingdom Metazoa; phylum Chordata; class Mammalia; order Primates; family Hominidae; genus Homo; species Homo sapiens. The sequence goes on from NC_000006.12 coordinate 968,685, forward strand.
ACAACCAGAAAATTGCCATCGGAGTTTTCCTAAAAGCAGATAAGATATTGGATTTAAGAAACCAGAACAAGATGCTAAAGACATTTTTGCAGAATCAAAGCATGATCTTGATGAATAAAAACAAGGTAGGAGAAATGAGAAAAAAGAGAGTCATGAAGAGGGCTCTGGGAAGATGGCAGAGGGGGAAGCACCGGGGATCCATCTCCCCACCTAGACAACTGTTGCCCTGGCGGGATCTGCCTGATGTAGCTATTTCGGAACTCTGGAGTCTATCCAAAGGCTTTCAACTTCCAGAGTAAGGCTTGGATGTTCAGCTCTCAGCTTGGCAGCCACCCCCACCTTACCCTTCAATCGCAGAGCAGCCAGCCATGCATGAATCCCAGTTTAAGTGTTGGACATGCAATTT